>NC_000002.12:13691071-13997827 GCF_000001405.40 Homo sapiens | reverse complement strand
AAGCTGATAACAATTTATTTTCAATTGCCCATAAAAATCCTACACTTTTACTTACCTCAGCCTCCATATTTTGTTTTAGTTTACACAATTTACATTTTATATATAGTTTGTCCCATTACAAATTATTGTAGCTGTAGTTATTTTACTGTTTTTGTCTTTAATATTTTGCTGAAGTTGTGATTTATGCACCACCGTTATAGAATTATAGTGTTCTGAATTTGATTATGTTCTTGTCTTTGCCAGTGAGTTTTATATTTTCATATGATTTTGTGTTACTAATTAACATCTTTTTGCTTCTGCTTGAATGATTCCCTTTAGCATTTTTTTGTTCAGCAGATATAATGATAATAAACTCCTAAGCTTTTCTTTTTCTGTAAAATCAAGAAGTCTTTATCTCTCTGTCATTGCTTATTGATATATAATAGCTGCATATATTTATGGGGCACATGAGTTTTTTTTATATATGCATGCAATGTGTAATTATCCAATCAAGATAAATGGAATATCCATCACCCCAAATATTCATCACATCTTTGTGTTTCAAACATTCATAATCCTCTCTCTAGCTTTTTCAAAATATATAATGAATTCATATTAACTATAGTTGCCCTATTGTCCTGTCTCTTCATTTTTGAAGAAAAGCTTTTCCAGGTAAAATTTGTTTGACAGGCATTTTTTTTTTTTTTGTCACAGCACTTTCAATATGTCACCCTACTCTCTCCTGACTTGCAAGGCTTCTGCTAAAATATCTAATAACCTATGGCCATTTTTGTATTTCTTGTATTCCTTTTTGCCTTGCTGGATTTAAATATCTCTCTTTGTCTTTGATATTTGAAAGTTTGATTTTTTGTATGGACATCACTAGTTTATTACTGATTTATAAAGTAATATTTATATTCTTTTTTTCTAAATTTTTTTATTTCAGTAGGTTTTAGGGGAATAGGTCATGTTTGGTTACAAGAATAAGTTCTTTACTGGTGATTTCTGAGACTTTGATGCACTCATCACTCCAGCAGTGTACACTGTATGCAATGTGTAGTCTCTTATTCCTCACCACACCCAGCTCTTTACCCCTGAGCACCCAAAGTCCAATTTGCCATTGCATCCTCATAGCTTAGCTCCCAGATATGAGTCAGAATATACAATGTTTGGTGTTTCATTCCAGAGTTATTTCACTTAGAATAATAGTCTCCAGTTTCATCCAGGTTGCTGGAAATGCCATTATTTCAATTATTTTTTGGCTGAGTAGTATTCCATGGTGTATGTGTATATATATCTCACATTTTTCTTTATCCATTTGTTGATTGATGGGCATTTGGGCTGGTTCCATAATTTTGCAATTGCAAATTGTGCTGCTATAAACATGCATGTGCAAGTATCTTTTTCATGTAATGGCTTTTTTTCATCATGTAGGGATTGGGATTGCTGGATCAAATATATGTACTTTTAGTTTTTAAAGGAATCTCCACATTGTTTTCCATAGTGGTTGCACTAGTTTATATTTCCACCAACGATGTAAAATTATTCCCTTTTCACTACATGTCGGTCAACATCTATTTTTTTTATTATGGCCATTCTAGCAGGAGTGAGGTAGTGTTGCATTGTGGTTTTGATATCCATTTCCCTGATAATTAGTGATGTTGAGCGTTTTTTTTCCATATGCTTGTTGGCCATTTATATATCTCCTTTTAAGAATTGCCTATTCATGTCTTTAGCTCACTTTTTGATGGGTTAGTTTGTTTTTCTATCACTGATTTGTTTGAGTTCTTTGTAGATTTTGGATATTAGTCCTTTGTCAGATGTATAGATTGTGAAGATTTTTTTCCCACTCTGTGGGTTATCTGTTAACTCTGCTGGTTATTTCTTTTGCTGTGCAGAAGGTTTTAGTTTAATTAAGTCCCATCTATTTATTTTTTTGTTGTTGCTTTTGCTTTTGGGTTCTTGGTCTTGAAGTCTTTGCCTAACCCAATGTGTAGGAGGGTTTTTCTAATGGCATCCTCCAGAATCTTTACGGTTTCAGATTTTAGATTTAAGTTTTTGATCCATCATAAGTTGATTTTGGTATAAGGTGAGAGATGAAGATCCAGTTTTATTTTTCTACAGTGGCTTGCCAGTCATTCCAGTACCATTTGTTGAATAGGGTGTTCTTTCCCCACTTGAAGTTTTTGTTTGCTTTGTCAAAAATCAGTTGGCTGTAAGTATTTGGTTTTATTTCTGGGTTCTTGATTCTGTTCCATTGGTCTGTGTGCCTATTTTTATACCAGTACCATGCTGTTTTTGTTGTTATGGCCTTATAGTATAGGTTTGAAGTCAGGTAATGTAATGCCTCCAGAATTGTTCTTTTTGTTTAGCCTTGCTTTGGCTATGTGGGCTCTTTTTTGGTTCCATATGAATTTTAGGATTTTTTTTCTAGTTCTGTAAAGAATGATGGTGGTATTTTGATGGGAATTGCATCAAATATATATATTTCTTTTGGCAGTATGGTCAATTTTACAATATCAATTCTACCCATCTGTGAGCATGGGAGGCATTTCTGTATTAGTCCGTTCTCATTCTGCTATGAAGAAATACCTGAGATTGGGTTAATTATAAAGAAAAGAGCTTTAATTGACTCACAGTTCCACATGGCTGGGGAGGCTTCAGGAAACTTGGCAGAAGGCACCTCTTCTTGGGGTAGCAGGAGAGAAAATAAGTGCCACCAGGGGAAATGCCAGAAGCTTATAAAACCATCAGCTCTCATGAGAGAACTCACTCACTATCATGAGAACAGCATGGGGAAGGCCACTCCCATGATTCAATTACCTACCACTAATTCCCTCTTATGACACGTGGGATTATGGGGATTGCAATTCAAGATGAAGTTTGGGTGGGGACACAGCCAAACTATATCACTTTCTATTTATTTTTTGTCATCTATGATTTCAGCAGTTTTAGTATTCCTTGTAGAGGTCTTTTCTTGTAGCGGTCTTTCAGTAGTTTTAGTTTTTCTTGTAGAGGTCTTTCATGTCCTTGGTTAGGTATATTCCTATGTGGTTTTTTTATGGCAGCTATTAAAAAAGGGGTTGAGATATCAATTTGATTCTTAGCTTGGTCGCTCTTGGTATATAGCAGAGTGACTGATTTGTGTACATTAATTTTGTATCCTGAGGTCACACCTTAGGAAACTGGAAAAACAGGAACAATGAAAACCCAAACACAGTGGAAAAAAAGAAATAACAAAGATCAGAACAGAACTAAATGAAATTGAAAGAAAATAGACAATTCAAAATATAAATGAAACAAAACGCTGGTTCCTTCAAAAGATAAATAAAATTGATAGATCATTAAGAAAATTAACCAAGAAAAGAAGACAGAAGATCCAAATAAGCTCAATTAGAAACAAAACAGGAGATAATACTACAGATACCACAGAAATACAAAAGTTTATTCAGGACCACTGTGAACACCTTTATGTGCATAAACTAGAAAACCTAGAGGAGATGGATAAATTCCTGGAAACATACAAACCTCCTATATTAAACCAGGAAGATATGGAATGTCTGAACAGACCAATAACAAGCAGCGAGATTGAAATGATAATAAAAAATTATCAACAAAACAAGTCTAGTAACGGACTGATTCACGGCTGAATTCTATCAGATATTCAAAGAAGAATTAGTACCAATCCTATTGGCACTATTTCAAAAGATAGAGAAAGAAGGAATCCTCCCTGAATCATTCTATGAAGCCAATATCACCCTAATATCAATACAATGATATAACAACAAACAAACAACAACAAAAACTACAGACCATTATCTCTGATGAACATAGATGCTAAAATCCTCAACAAAATACTAGCAAATTGAATCCAACAGCATTTAAGAAAAAGATAATCCACCATGATCAAGTGGGTTTCATATAAGGGACACAGGGATGGTTTAACACACTCAATAAATGTAATATACCACATAAACAGAATTAAAAACAAAAATCTCATGATTATCTCAAAGATGGAGAAAAAGCATTTGACAAAATCCAGCAGCACTTTATGGTTAAAACCCTCAGCAAAATCAACATAGAAGGGACATACCTTAAGATAATAAGAGCCATCTATGACAAACCCACAGTAAACATTAAACTGAATGAGAAAAAGTTGAAAGCATTCCCCCTGAGAACTAGAACAAGACAAAGATGCTCACTTTCACCACTTCTATTTAACACAGAACTGGAAGTCCTATCCAGAGCAGTCAGACAAGAGAAAGAAATAAAGGGCATCCAAATAGGTAAACAGGAAGTCAAACTGTCACTGTTTGCTGATGATATGATTGTATACCTAGAAAACTCTAAAGACTCATCCAAAAAGGTCCTAGAATGGACAGTTGGATTATAATATGTCTTGGTAAAGTCTTCTTTGGATTGAATCTGTTTGGAAACTTTTCAGCTTCATGTACCTAAATGTCCATATCTCTTCCAGGAAGAGAAGGAAGTTTTCGGCCATTAAAATAAGCTTGCTGCTCCTTAAAATAAACTTATTCTCCTTTTTTCTTTTCTTTTTTCTTAATTTCCTAATTCAGATGTGATATGGTTTCACTGTGTCTCCACCCAAATCTCATCTTGAATTATAGCTCCCATAATTCCCATGTGTTGTGGGAGGAACCTGGTGGAAGGTAATTGAATCATGAGGGCAGGTCTTTTCCTGCTGTCCTCTTGGTAGTGTGTGAGTCTCATGAGCTGATAATTTTATAATGGGGAGTTCCCCTACACACACTGTCTTTTGCCTGCCGCCATGTAAGATGTCCTGTTGCTCGGTCTTCTGCCATGATTGTGAGGCTTCCCTAGCCATGTGGAACTGTAAGTCAATTAAACCTCTTTCCTATATAAATCGCCCAGTCTCAGGTATGCCTTTATTAGCAGCATGAGAACAGATTAATAAAGTAAATTGGTACTGGGTAGTAGGTGCTGATGTAAACATACCAAAAATGTGGAAGTGACTTTGGAACTGGGTAATAGTTTAGAGGTTGGAACAGTTTGGAGGGCTCAGAAAAATACGGGAAAATATGGGAACGTTTGGAGTTTCCTGGAGCCTTGTTGAATGGTTTTGACCAAAATGCTGATAGTGATATGGACAATGAAGTCCAGGTGGAGGTGGTCTCAGATGGAGAAGAGGAACTTGTTGGGAACTGGAGTAAAGGTTACACTCACTATGCAAAGGGACTGGTGGCATTTTACCCCTGCCCTAGAGGTCTGTGGAACTTTGAACTTGTGAGAGGTAATATAGGGTATCTGGCAGAAGAAATTTCTAAGCTGCAAAGTGTTCAAGAGGAAGTAGAGCATAAAAGTTCAGAGAATGTGCAGCCTGATGATGCGATAGAAAAGAAAACCCCATTTTCTGGGAAGAAATTCAAACTGGCTGCAGAAAGTTGCATAAGTAAAGAGGAACCAAATGTTAATCACCGAGACAATGGGGAAAATGTCTCCAGGGCATGCCAGAGACCTTCACAGCAGCCCCTCTCACCACAGGCCCAGAGGCCTAAAAGCAAAAAATGGTTTAGTTGACCAGGTCCAGGCCCCCCCTCTGCTTTGTGCAGCATAGGGACTTGATATCCTGCATCTCAGCTGCTTCAACTCTAGCCATGGCTAAAACAGGCCAATGTATGGCTCAGGCTGTTGCTTCAGAGGGTGCACAGAAGTCAAGAATTGAGGTTTGGGAACCTCTGCCTAGATTTCAGAGGATGTATGGAAATGGCTGGATGTCCAGGCAGAGTTGTGCTGCAGGGTCAGAGCCCTCATGGTGAACCTCTGCTAGGGCAGTGAGGAAGGGAAATGTGAGGTCAGAGCCCCCACACAGAGTCTCCGCTGGGGCACTGCCTGTTGGAGCTGTGAGAAGAGGGCCACAATCCTCCAGGTCCCAGAATGGTAGATCCACTGACAGCTTGAACTGTGCACTGGGAAAAGCCACAGACACTCAGTGCCAGCCTATGAAAGCAGCTGGGGGTCGGAGGGACATACCCTGCAGACCCACAGGGGCAGAGCTCCCCAAGGCCATGGGAGCCCACCTCTTGCATCAGCATGACCTGGATGTGAGACATGGAGTCAAGGGAGATTATTTTGGAACTTTAAGGTTTTATGACTGCCCTATTGGATTTTGGAATTTCCTGGGGCCTGTAGCCCTTTTGTTTTGAACAATTTCTCTGATTTGGAATGAGTGTATTTACTCAATGCCTGTACCCCCATTGTATCTAGGAAGTAACTAACTTGCTTTTGATTTTACAGGCTCGTAGCTGGAAAGGAATTACCTTGTGTCAGATGAGACGTTGAATTGTGGACTTTGAGTTAATGCTGAAATGAATTAAGACTTTGGGGGGCTGTTGGGAGGGCATGATTGGTATTGAAATGTGAGAACATGATATTTGTGAAGGACCAGGGGCAGAATATTGTGGTTTGGATGTGTCTCCACCCAAATTTATCTTGAATTTTAGCTCCCATAATTTCTACATGTTGTAGGAGAGACCTGATGGGAGGTAACTGAATCAGGGGGCAGGTCTTCCTGTGCTGTTCTCATGAGAGTGAATAAGTCTCATGAGATCTGATGGTTTTATAAATGGGAGTTCCCCTGCACACATTCTCTTTTCCTGCCATGTAAGATGTCATCTTGTTCTTACTTCGTCCCCCACCACGATTGTGAGGCCTCCCCAGCCATGTGGAACTGTAAGTCAATTAAACCTTTTTCCTTTATAAATTACCCAATCTCAGGTATGTTTTTATGAGCAGTGTGAGAGAAGACTAATACAAGATATTAGCTCTTTAGATGGTGTTCTGTAAATCCCATGGGTGGTCTTCATTTCTTTTTATATTTGTATTCTTTTTCTGCTCTGACTGAATATTATAAAATGACCTTTGTTTACTCCACATGTTGTGTTTTGTTATTGCTCCCCAGAGTGAAGTAGAGTGGCACAGGAATCATCATAATACGCTTCAGCTTTTAACTCCTGGCCTCCTCCCGTTTCAACCTCCCAAGTAATTTGGATTACAGTTACAGATTACCACTGCATCCAGCTTAAATTGACATATTTTTTCATCTGCTTAATCAAGTCTACTGTTGATGCTCCCTGTGACATTTTTCATTTCACTCATTGTATTCTTCCACTCCAGAGTTCTATTTTGTACTTTTTAAAAAATTTCTTCCTTTTAATAAACTTCTAGTTTTGATCATGCAATTTTTATGTCACTTTGTTGCATGATATCTGTGTTTTCTTGTAGCTTGCAGAGCTTCCTTACAACAATTATTTTAAATTCTGTTTTGGCAATTAGTCGATCTGCATTTCTGTGAGGTCAGTTACTAGAATGTTTTTGTGTCCCCTTGGTGGTGTCATGCTTCCTTTATGTTCTTCATTTTCTTGAACTCTTGCATTGTTGTCTTCACATTTGAAGAATCACTTGCCGCTTCCACTCTTTACTGACTGGGTTTGAGAGAGACATGCCTTTACTACTCAGTCCAATTTTGGAAACTGAGGCTATAGGAGACCTTTCCTTTGAATGTTCTCACACCTGGTACTCCTTGGAAGTAACAATAATAATTATTATTATTATTGAGAGAAGAGCCTTTGTCTTCTCTTAATCTTAGAAATTCAGGACAGATGCTAAGAGCCTCCCGCTTGTTTTTCCTAAAGCAGTGCTCTGAAGTGCTGAAATTTCTGTGCCTTCTCCCAATCCTGCAGAGTCAAGCCAGCCATCCACTTGGGAGGCTTGCACTCTCTGCAAAAATGCATTTGAAGAGCTTGCCTGTGGGATGAGGAGTGAGACACAGTGAGCATTTGGGGTGCCTGTGATCCAGCTGTGGGAAGGTCCACAGGTGAAGTATCCCAAAATTTCTGATTAAGTCCATGGAGTAGGTAATAGGGTCCATTTCCTCTCTCTCTCTCTCTCTCTCTCTGTTTTTATTTTTTTCTCCCAGCCTTTCTCAACCTCTCAGCTGTGCTAATTATCTCAATATTCTGGATGGATTAAGAAATACATGAACCTTTTGGAAAGTTACCTTATGGCTAGGGGTCTGGGCATTTATTCAACACAATCTCATTTATTATTTTCTGTAGAAGAATCATTGAGTGAGGGTTTTCTCTGTGTAGTGAACTGTGCCACCTTAGAGGAAGAGTGGCATGGGTAAAGTTAAGGTTGTTCTTTTACTCTCTTCAGTGTATCTATTTTTATAATTTCCCCCTATTTGTGAGCTAGAATTTCTCAGCTGGATTTCCACACTCCTACAAAAGTATTCTTGTCTGTGAGTGGTTGTCAAAATTAATGCTTCTGCATGGGAATAAAAATAAAAAGCTGCTTTTTCTGCCATCTTTCTGATATCTTATAACCCATCTTTAATATGAAGTCCCTAAAATTCTGCTAAATTAAGAAATTGCTCCAAATCACAGAATAATTAAGTGGTGAGTCAAAATTTTAGCACAGATTTATCTGACTAGAAAGCCCCTGTTTATCAGCCAAGCCATGCTGTCCTTCACAAACCTGGTTGCTGTGCCCATTGGCCAGTTGTCCTGCATTCACATGAGCCTCCTCTGCTTTGCTGTCACACAACTTGGCTCCATTACATTTCCTCATCTTTAGTATCAGGAAAATAATAGCATCTGTGGGATTTCTGAGAGGATTAAATGAGTTAAATACTTGTACAACCTTAGATCAGTGTCTGTCACATAGTAGGCACTCAATAAATGATAGTTGTTGTTATTGCTATTTTTATTAATTTTTTTGCAGAACAAGTGGCAATGGTAATGGCATATGTGCATTTAGAGATAGTTGTCTGTTCTTTGATTATATCTACAAATTAAGAACTGTAGTAGTTATTTTCTATTATAAACATTTTTTAAAAGTTTGCTCTTTTTATAATTTCTTGCATTTCAAACTGGATTATATTTCCAATTTGAACAGTTACCTTCACTGATACCATTAAAAATTAAATATATTTTGCAAACAAATATGTGCCTTTGTACAATATTCTTGATCATAAAACATTCATTTTGTAAAAAATAACATTAAGAATTAACATTTTCAGTAGTCAATATTTAATATATGTGCATACTACCTAAACATGAGATGATATTTTTGAAATATTTATGACATCTTTAACCTGTTCTGTGTAAACTACACTAGAGTCCTGGAAATTCAAGTTGTCATCTATTTCCACAATGCTTGTGTAGGCATAATATAATTATATCACAATCATTCTGCACTCCAATTTATTCAAATTCCACTATGTGGCTGTAAACATTACTGATTCTTTACCCTTGTAGAGGTTTCTTGTATTCATCTAGCGAAATTAGCATGCACTTTTTTTAACATTTTAACTTCTCTAAACTTGGGATGTGTCTTTTAGACAATGTCATCTTATAGTTGCTGTAAATTAGACATCAGCCATAATATAGGCGTTATGGCATATGCGTGCACAAACATTAAATGCAGCAATATAAGAATTCAAAAGAAATTTCCAGAAACAAAGGGGGAAAATACTTTTAATTCCTACTATCAAATTGACTGCAGAGGGGATAAGGGAGATGACAAATCAGAAGTTGTGGGCAACATTCAAAAAACAAGAACACACTACAAATTTTCCTGAATAGCTATTATTTTTTGTGATTTTAAAAAAGCAAATTTAGCAACATCAATAACTCTGTTGAGCACAAATAATTATATTTCATGGATAAAACGTAAGACTGACAACTCTGAGTTGAAAAGTGTTCAAAAGAAGCAAACTTCAAGTGTGCAGAAATTTTAAGAATAATCTTACCAGTTTATTTTTTTTACTAAGTCTCAAAGAGCTTTTTCTGCAACGTATCAGGCTGAGTTTATTGCATCTTTTTTTTTATGTTTGGGCTTATTCACGATATGAATGGACAGTGTGAACAGAACTTCAGAGGCATTCTCTTTAGAAACTGTAAGACTTCCTGGGAAGGTTGACTGAGAAAGTGAATAAGAATTCTATATCATAAGAATAATATGTCAGAGTTGCATTTGCAGTACTCCATATTTCTTAGCAGCATATAATATAATGGTACATTTTACAATCAATGATGTTCTAGATACACTGAAGTAAGGTCTTTAAATGTCTGCTACCCCATAGGAGCATGACTTCCTCCAGGTCACGCACCAGGTGCTACTCATTTTTGCATATTTTTATAAAGTGCAACATTTGGTATAAAGAGAAAGAGAGTAAATAAATATGTGAATAAATAAATTAAAGATTCATTTTTGTATGTATACTTTATGTCTTTCAATTATGAGAAAAACTCTTGATTTATCCTTTGATTTATACATTGGGGAACTATTGAGTTGCTATTATATAAGGCAGGGGTTCCCAAACCCTAGGCCAGTCCTGGTCCCTGGCCTGTTAGGAATTCGACTGTACAACAGGAGGTGAGCATGAGGAGGGCATTAGCACCTAAGCTCTGCCTCCTGTTAGATCAGTGGTGGCATTAGATTCTCATAGGAACCAGAACCATTACTGTTAACTGCACATACAAGGGATGTGGATTGCACGCTCCTTATGAGAATCTAGCTAATTACTGATGATCTGAGGTGGAAGAGTTTCATCCCAAAACCATCACCTGCCCCCTCACCCCTCGTTCATGGAAAAATTGTCTTCCATGAAACTGGTCCCTGGTGCCAAAAAGGTTGGGAACATTAGGAATTGGGGATTGCCAAAAAGGTCGGGGACATTAGGGATTGGTTGGGTCTAAAATGTAGAAAAAAATTCACATTTCCTGCTTTCAAGGAGCTCATGGTGTAGTGAATAAATACTTATATAGAGAGAAGCTACATATAGCCTGGCTTGAATGTTGTAATAGAAGTGTGTTTGAGATGAAATGCAAACAAAAATGATGCAATAAATTCAGCCTGGTATTTTGTGAAATATTTTCTAGGAAAAGAGGATATTAAACTGAGACTTGTATGGAAAGATGAGTTTTCAAGATAAATTGAGTGGCTTTTCTAGGTACAGAGATAAGTCTCTATAAAGCAAGTGGAGGAAGGAACAGTCCAGAGTCCAGCATGACAAAGAATCAAGTACATTTGTATAGGAAATAAGAGGTAGTGGGGCATGTAGTGAAAAAAAAAAGTGCTAGCTTGTAGAGACTTTTAAGCCATGATAAATCTGATAAATTTGCAATTCATAAAAAATACCCTATAAAAGCAAAAACTTGCACAACGTGACTCCCAATGAATCATGGAAGGATCCCACAGACTTATTCATGGTACAAGCGGACAGTGGGAAGTAAACTTCAAAGGCATTCTCTTACTGTAAGACTTCCTAGGAAGGTTGAGAAGATGAGAAGGGAGAAAAATCGAGTCTATCTCTAATCAGCACTAATGCATTGTACATTTCCCCAGAGCCCATTTCAATTTACTAGTTTATCCATTTGTTATTTTCAGTAAATTAATATCATTGCTCATCTCAAAGACATGAGTGTTTGACCCTGGAAAGAACAGGTAATTTATTTGAATAGAAGATTACGGAAGGGATTTTGTAATGTTGACATGTGTGTGCTGATAAACGTGTCGGTAAACGGAGAAGTTCATTACCAGAATATGACCCTTGAAAGTGTCACATTGACAATGCCAAAGATAATTGCCGCCATAAGCATGGACCAGGAGACAATCAAGCTAGGCTATTTAAATCCCAGAAGAAGTCACAGGTCTTTCCACATTCATTTTCATTTATCCTCCCTGTGTTATTTCCTTCGGAATTCATAATGCAGCCTGTTCTTTACCCGTTAGTTTCCACATTAGAAAACAAGTCCCCTGAGCTGTGCCTCAGTTGTTAATCATTTGTGTACTTATCCTCCACGTCCATGTAGACAATACTAAGGTAATAACTTTTGAAATTAATTGAATTTGTTATAGTCTTCTTGTAGTTTTACCACTTTAAATTTTCTAAGTATAAAAACCGAAATATGCAGTGAGCCAAGATAGGGCCACTGCACTCCAGCCGGGGTTACAGAGCAAAAGCCTATCTCAAAATAAATAAACAAATAAAATACCCAGATAAAAGATTATTATGCTTGGTGTTTTTTTTTAACCTGTCCCTTGTTCTAAAAGGACTTTTTAAGCTACTTTAATTATCTGCCACGATTTACAGATAATTTAAAGTACTTTATTATTTTAATGTCATGTAATGTGCCATACATATTCTTATAGTGTTTTTTGTATTTTATCATGTGCCAGACAGAGGCCACTTGCTGTTCAACAATTCCTGTTGAGGGGATGGTGAAGGGAGGGTTGTTATTGTTAGTTTGTTTTTTTTTTGTTTTGTTTTCTTTTGTTATGTTTTGTTTCATTTTCTGGTCACTCACAGAGCCTACATTTGCCAGCTTCTTTAACCATGAGGGGTTGTTATAGACAATTTAATATAGGTACACACAACTTCCAGGCTTTGCCTATTAAAATTTTCCTGACGTATTTTGATGCAGACGAGTAGAGTGACCTTAGAAGCCAGATTCTGAAGAAGATAGTTTGGCTGTCTCAATGTGTTATGGGAAGCAGTGCACTGTGTACACACACCTGCTGACCAGGAACACACACATTAGACTGTTATGTATGAGAATCTTACGTATATTATCTGAAATCACTTAAATGATGGGCATGGTTTGTTAGAGTAATAAGGGTGTGCTTAACACATCTTAAAGGCATGTTAGGAGATCATGATGGATATTAAAAGGCCAAAGAGACCCACAAGAATAATCACGAAACTTCCCAGGAAGACAGATCAGCCCATCAAATGAGGAGGCACAAGTTTAAATCACAAATGCACAGCCTATAGGCAAGTTTGATGCCTATAACCTGCTGTGTTGATAATGGTGTAGGATTAAGAGGATACATAGTTCCAGGGCATCTAGAAAGCAACTGCTTCTTTCCATTGGTGGCTAATTCCTAGTTCAAGCCCAGCAATGTGGAACAATTTGCAATTATAAAAACAAATCCCAGTTTAAACCTTGGGACGAGGGAATGTTTAACAGTAATTTAGGGAATCAAGTATCCAATACACTGATCTGGGACTTACAATGGCATCCAGTTCCAATGAGAAATTGTAACAAAACCTGAAATTAGGAGAGAAGCCCAAGCAGGCTACATTGCTGGAATACAAGATGGAGAGGGAAGCATGATGCATGAGGCTCTCGGGGTTCTGGTAGCTTCATGCACACTGGCCTTGGGAATGTGGTAAGAGACCATTTCTAGACCTCACCAAGGCATAGTGACCACTGAGTTCTTGCTAGCCATAAACTGGAAAGATCAGAGCCCAGAAGCACTGGCCTTTAAAAACCCTCGGATGGGCAAGACCAAATAGACAGGGACTGACATTGTCACAGCACACGGTTGGAATTTTATTCAATAAAGTAGGAAATATCCCCAACTTTTGTATTGATGAACCTTATAGTATTTGTGATATACCATTACACTAATCATTTGAAGATTAACTTGTAACGTTACACATATTTAAATAAAATCAAAACCTGTCAGATAGTAAAGTCACATAATGCACCATTCTATTAATCAAAGATTACAAGGCAATTACTTTTATAACATTGGCAACATTAGGACAATGGGAGAGAAATAGACGATAATGTGAAAGTCACTGCTAAATTAAAGATTTAGAAATGCAATCATAAGAATGCTAAATGAAGTGAGGACAAAACAGACCAGGAACAAAATTAGTTTCTTGTTTGTTAGAAATGAAGGGGTAACATAAAGTCACTGTAGTAAGTGTAAAGCCAAACATCTTCATGTCGGCAGAGGAAGGCATTACAGGAAACCCCTTCCTAATATATTTAACTTTTCTCTTTAATATTGCTGAGTTGAGTACTGTAAAATGATATGTTCATTATTGAATAACTTTGACTTCTAAAAATTAAAAAGTAACTTTTTAGAAAAATAAGATTATGAATGAACTGCCCCAAACCAATACATCTTTATGAAAAACATCCAGTAATACAATATAATATCAATACCAGCGTGGTTAAAAAAAAAAAAAAAAAGTCTGTTACCTGCCAAATGAAAAACAAATTACTAGGTAATATATTGGACTTCACCACTAAAATCAAAGTTAATGTTCTCAATGCCAGAGGATACAAGCAAGTTTGAAGCTACTAAGTTACAGAGACAAGGACAAAATGCAAAATGCTCATAGATTAAGGGGAACCATGCAGAAAGCACTTTCAAGACAGGAAAGGGGACATGTCCACACTGTGCCAAGACAAATAAAGAAATGAGGTAGATAAACATCATGTACTTTAATCCATATCTCTATGACATGTGTTCAGCTGTCTTAGTAAACTTTGCATTCAATTGCTCTTACTTGAATGGCATGAAAGTGTTAGTGTAATAAAAAAATATAAATGAACCAACTAGACTTTTGTGTTACATTGATATCAACCCCTTCCATACTAATTAAATATGAGTTAATTTGAATCATGTATTGGAGAAGAACAGACTTTACTAAAGGCCATTATTAAATGCCTACGCATTGCAAGTACCTAGCATTTTTACATTTTAGAGAGTAGTTCATATGCACTCATGCACATATATATGAACTATAATTTTCAAATATTTTAAATACATTGAAATCCACTACAACATAAACTACACATATGAGTAGTCTAGGCTGACAGAATAGCATACGCAATCACATGAAAGCTGAAAAACCAAGGCATAGTTGACACTACTGAGTTCAAATTTACAATATGGGATGTAGTGGGAACGGAAATGGGAAGATTTGGGTCCATACAAAATTGGTACAGGTACATTCTATAGCCACCACAAAGTCTCGGGAAATTCCTGCAATATGAAATGATGTAATTGTCCCAGTGAAGCTAATTTAGGAAGCTAATTGTCATGGCAGAGTAGATTTCTTACAGGCGTAAGAACAGTTAGGCAGTTATTGCTATTGTTTAGAGAAATAGTTATAATGAGTGTAAAACAGAGCAGTCTCAGGAGAGATGGAAAGTTAGGAACAGACAGGAAAGATATTGTAGAAACTAGAAATTACAATTTAGGTTGCGTTCTTTGGAGCTTCCTGATCTATTCATGATGACACAAAAATTCTGTGTTTTTTGAAGTAGAAATCTGGCTGGAGAAAGGAACAAAACACAGATCAACTATGCAGAGATATTTGAACAACCACCACAGCAAACTCCTAGAAAGTACTCTGGATTCACAACGCCGAGTTCCAATTTCCTCAGTTATTAACACTATAATCCTAGAATACATATACATTACAAATATGCAGAAAACTCTTAATTTTCTCCAGAATGTTTTGGAAAGGTAGCAGCCATTGATTAATGCTTGGCCCATTGCAGGTAGCTAGATGGTGATATGCCATCATTCCTTCTTCACTTAGCTACAATAGAAGAAACTTCCTGTTATCAATTATACGGTTACTCTCTTGTACAGTTTATATAGCAAAGGCATTATATATTATTTTTTCTGTTCCTTTATCGTTTTAAAAATGCTGAATTCAATTTTAGCATGCTTAGAAGTTGACCAATTATATTTTTACTATTATTACAGATTTGTCTAAAATTATGTATTATATTTTATTTTTAAAAACATTTTAAGAGAGTTTCGCTCTTGTTGCCCAGGCTGGATTGCAATGGCAGGAACTCGGCTCACTGCAACTTCCGCCTCCCAGATTCAAACGATTCTCCGGCCTCAGCCTCCCAAGTAGCTGGGATTACAGGCACCCACCACCACTCCCAGCGAATGTTTTTTTGTGTATTTTTAGTACAGACGGGGTTTCACCATGTTGGTCAGGGTCGTCTCGAACTCCTGACCTCAGGTGATCTACCTGCCTCGGCTTCCCAAAGTGCTGGGGTTACAGGCGCAAGTCACCATGCCCGGCCAGCTCCTAAGTTCTTCTGACACGACCTTTTTACTCTTGGATAGCTCCCTTTCCTTCTAGAATGAAAAGATGTTTTAGGCTTATCCTATGTTTAGCTCACTCTAAGCAGGAGTCCTTGTTTCTTTTAGAGGAAAATGGCATTTTAGAGTCCACGATATAGGCACTAGTAGATAAAGTCCTAATTAAAATTAAATAAATAAAAACCTCATTTGAATGGTTTTTTAGCTCTGTCGAAGTTTCCTGACTTATACAAATTTATATTCGGAATCTTTTGTTTGATCATGATGCAAGAACAATTGGTAGGACAGTATTTCTTGGAAAAAAAGGTGAATTGAGTTATGGAATTGTGCTTTAATTTTTTTATTATTTTGGGGGCCAAATCTCACTTCATTATTGAGAAATAATGAGTTACAATTACCGTTACCACCTTCCTCCCTAGCACTTTTGATCCAACATTTGTTTATAATGGTAGACTCAATACCAAATATGAGGAAAATAAGAAAGTTTCAATTTTTTTTCTTTCAAAAAATATTATTTAAAAGCTAAAATATTTTTGGTAGCACATTTCCCCTGTAACTGGTAATTTATCCATGTAAAGACATCCCTAGAGAAAGAGCATATACTTGCTGAGTAAAAGTATTATGGGATGGGTCTATGCAGTTATTTTTTATTAAATTTCCATTAGTGTTAAAACGGATGATAATAAGATACTAATATGCTTATATTTCAATTCACCAAACTAAGAAATTATCAAGTTTCTTTTAGCCTCTGCTAATTGTACAAATATAATGCAGATAGATTTTTGTGAAATAATATTTGTGTTCTGTTATGAAACCCAATTATAAATGTGGACATATGAACAAGTAATTACGCTCCCTTGTTATGAATGGGAATAATTTGTCATGGAACTTAGTATTCCTCCAGGCATTCTCAGAATATATTTCCAGGTAATAAAAATAGTGCAAGAATATACAGAAGTGAAAATTAGTCTCAAGTGAAGGCCTCCCCAGAGAAGCAGTGGGGTCTTTCCTAGCTCAAGTGCATGGCCAGAGGCTAGTAGTACACAAATAATGGACAGTAACCAGTTGGATTTTTCAAAAGGAAATATTTTTCTGGGATGGCACAGTAGATAGGCGTGTTTTATGATTGAGGCATGAATAGAATAGGCTTGAGATCCAGCTTGTGGGTTGTTACATTGAGACTCTACAGGTAGCTGTAGGATATTAATGTGAAACCTTAAGATAATGAAGGAAAAATCATGGAGTATTTAGAATTCAATTATCATAAACTCAGAATCTCAATTTCTACCCCTTTTCTAAAATGAGAAGTGATTTTTAATATTACCAAATTTGCATGTGATTCCGCACTAAGAATGAAAACCCATATAAGAGTGTCAGACCATCAATAATTCAAGCAGCATTTTATCGGGTAGAAATTTTCATTTTTTTTCTTGCATTCCCTAAACACATATTAAGGGAAGTGACTTTATTCTGGCTTAGCTATTTAGGAACCTGGCAGTGTTCTCAAAATGACTTTTGGATTAAAATGCTCTAGCTATTCTGGTTAAAAGACAAGTTTCTTCCTCCTAACTAAACTCACTGTAGCATTTATTTAAAATAAAATTGAGTTGAGTTCATTTTACTTGCTCCTCCATTACCAGTTGTAAAGAGTGTGCATTCAAAACAAATCGAGGCATTTTAGTTGAGTGGGCAGAGAAAAGCTCAGCGTCTGCTTTTGCAGGTGCACTGATTTAATAGTCCCGGCAAGGCACAGCTTATTGTTAGTAGGTAACAGGAAATGGAGGGAGCAGGCAGCCCTATTTAGAGTTATAGATGCAAAAGTGGCATCAAAACTTTTACCTTTGATTTCCATTTGTACTTTTTGCTAGATTGGTTTTCTGGGAAAGTTTAACTTCTTTGAGTCTGTTGCCTCATCTTTGAAACATGCATAAAAGTATTTCCCATTTGAAATGTTGGTGGCTTTTAAACATTGGACTGACTAGCAATGCACTTTACAAAGAGACTCCTTTCATCTTCTTTCTGCATTCTTTTAGGATTCAGATCAAGCATTCATCTCCTTCCAAAATGTTTCCCTGGCCAATAAAAGTAATAATAATAATAACAGTTAACATTCCTCAAATATTTACTCTGTGCCCAACAGATTCAAGAGTTTTGCACAAATTATCTCATACATTCATCACAAACCACTCTCTGTGGTTGTATTACTGTCTTCATTTTACAGATTTTACAGATCAAAAAAGCTGAGACATAGGAGGTGTAAGTAACATGTTCAAGATTCCATTGTGGTAAATGGGAGAGCAGAGGCTTGGACCTTAAGAGTCTGAGACAGAGCCCTTGCTGTCAACTATTGCAGAGTTCTGCTCACACTGTGTGGTGTTTATGGCCCCCTACCCTAGACTCTTTCACAGTATTTACTGCACTTCATTGTAGTTTTCAGTTGGTGTGTTTTCACCTCTAGATCATCAGCTTCTCGAGAGAATTAACTCCTTCATACTCAAGTACAAGATGTAGCATACAGAGTATTTAAGAAAATAAATAGTGCATATGAACATTTAGCATAAAACGTAATTTGATGAGAAAGAGTTGAACAGAAACATCCAGTAGATTGTCTCATGGGTGGGAGGGTGGCTGTGATACTTGCTGTGGGGAATAATTGACAATACTACTCAGAAAGTAACCACTAAGAAATGCTTTCAGAGCAATCAACCTTTTATGTTTCTGTGTCTTCATTAGATTAAAACCTTAAGAGAGCAGGGAGGTTTTCTTATTTAATTTATTTTTTAGCCTTCATTCCTAATATAGTACTTGGTACAAAGTAGTAATTTAGGTAATGCTTGTTGGATTCATCTCAAATTTTAATTAGTTCTTTCTTTTTGCCAAAAATGGAATCAGCCTGTTATGCTACCCATTCTACTCAGAAATTCAAATATGTGTAGATCTTGAGAAGGTGATCTTAAAATGCACATGAAATCATAAGTGTTCAAGAGGAGTCAGGGTAATTTTGAGAAAGAAGAATAGACAGTAGGCTTGTCTTATTAATTATAGATTATATATTAAAATGCTATGAATTTGATTGTAATATGGTACAGATTTTAATAAAAAATTTGGGATAAAAATTTTAATTAAAAAATTGAGAATTAGGCTCATGCATGTATAAAATTCATATATAGTATGTATGTAGTAAGTAATATGTATGAAATAAGCAATATTTCAACTAAGCAGAAAAAGATCGATTATGGAATCAATGACGTTGGGTTAGTTAAGTATCCATTAAGGAGGGGAGAAAAATCAAGTCAGACTGTTTCTATCAGTTCTAGATAGATGACAAATAAAGTTTTCAAAACAAGACTAAACAACAACAAAAAAAACAATAAATATAAACCTGGAAAATGTGAGAATACATTAATGCGGTCATGACTTTAGACTTATCATACTATCACAAGTAAGCTTCTGAATTGTATGCATTCTATTATTGTTGTATGCCTCACATAGCACGTGGCACACTAAACTGAACATCAAAGAGATCTCCTTAAGTCATTATTAATTTTAGTATTCTCTGCGTGAAGTAGGTTGGAAAAAAGCATAGTTTCTTGAAACTTCTATTTTTAAAGGAGCTAATCCAAATTTATATTTGGCTATGAATTTTACAGCTCTATCTAGATCTGATGAAGATAGATCTGTTAGCTTCTGGGGGCCTGTTTTAAGGTCTTAGATGTTCTTGTCTCATCTTATTTTGACCTTGGTGATGGGGCAGTGTACTTTAGGATATTAGCACAAATTAAGAAAAGATAAGCATTTGAGGCTATGGATAGCCTAATAACCCCAATTTGATCCCATTGATCATTACACATTTTATACAGGTACCCCAAACATATGTACAACTAAGATATATCAATAAAAATACAAAAAATGGTGGAGTTTATGTTTCCAACAGCCTAAGAGGGCATAGAAAAGTTCAGTTTCAGTGTTGATTTTTCTATCAACTGGTGACTAAAATACTAGTAGTAATTTCATCTTCTATGAAAGAGAGTAGAATGTAGTCAAATCTTGTAACAGAATGACACATAAAATATTTTCTTTTACTTCTTCAATTAACTTGAATAGGATGGAAAGGTCAACATGCTTATTCCTATGTATGACATGAATATATGGCATTATTTAAAAAACATGGACATTTCACAACAAAAAATTAAGCAGCATTTAATTAAACATAAATAAAAATCATCTTGCATTTTGAAGGATAAGAAGCAAGAAGCATTTGGATCAGGTTTTTTTTTTTTTTTTTTTTTTTTTTTTTTAGACTGAGTTTCACTCTTGTTGCCCAGGCTGGAGTGCAGTGGCACGATCTCGGCTCACTGCAACCTCTGCCTCCTGGGTTCAAGTGATTCTCCTGCTTCAGCCTTCCTGAGTAGCTGGCATTACAGGCATGCACCACCACGCCTGGCTAATTTTGTATTTTTAGTAGAGAAGGGCTTTCCCCATGTTGGTCTGGCTGGTCTCGAACTCCCGACCTCAGATGATCCACCCGCCTCCGTCTCCCAAAGTGCTGGGATTACAGGCATGAGCCACCATGCCCAGCCGCATCTATGTCAGTTTTAAAGTAAAGACATTGATGGATATACTGATCTGGAATGTCTGGAATACAGTTTTATAGTCTGAATTTTAAATTGAAGTTTTGCATGCCATATTATCTCTGCTTCCCTAAAGGTCTGGATGATATCTATTTATTTCTGAAGATTTTCCTCAGACATCCAGCGTTCGTCTTCACTGAGTAACTACAATACCCCTGCAATTATTCCATCTCTCTCATGCATCATCAATTTATTTTTCTGTATAGGATCTGTCCTAACAGCTTATAAACACATGTAAATATATTCCTTAGTTGACTTCAGATGCACATTTTTTTTACTTGTTTACATGGAAAAATAATGAATAAAGTGCTTCTAAATGTCCTCATTTTCTAATGTCTAAAGTTCTCTTCTCCACTGGGTCCCCACGACTATACAGCTATTGTTCACAGCATTGTTATCAATAACCTACTCCTTGATATATCAAATAGCCACTTACTTTACTTGGCTTCTCAGAAAAAAATGGACAAATATTGTCTACTTGCGGTTGGCTTCTGGATTACATAATTGCCCTAGCGTCTCATTAGTTTCCTGGCAATTTCTCACGAGATTTTTTTTCTGGCTTTGCCTCCTTGCTTAACATCTATTGAAATATCTGAGGACATAGTAGGGATCCTTCTTCCTTATTTATCTACATAAGTAACCTCATTCAGTCTGTGGCTCTAAGATATTTATTTCCAGTCCCACTCTTTACTTGTAGGTCCAGACTTACATTTGTGCATCTCCCTGTGGATCTTTTTTCCTTTCTTCAAAAGCTTCTTCAAATCAGTTGCTGAAGTGAAAAACTAGGTGTCTTTCTTTTCTTCTTCCTACACCCAGTCCATTAGGAATTGCTATGAACTTTATCTTGAAATATATGCAGAAGTAAACCCCTTCACTCCAATTCCACTGCACACATGCTGGTCAAAGCAGCCACCATTTTTCATCAGGACTCATTCAATAGTCTCCTGATCTTGTTTTGGCCTCATCCTTACAATTCACTTTTCACTCAGCAACCAGATTTCTAATTATTTTTTTATAAAGATTATAACACTCATTCTTTAATGTCTCTAATGGCTTCAAATTTTAGTAAAAATCCTGACACTTTATTTTTTGGGGAGTAAAAAGCCTTTTATAATTCAGCCCTTGACTATCTCTTCAATTTCTCTTTATGTAACTCTCCTCTTCATCTTTTATTCCCTATATTCTTGACTCACTAGTATTTTTCCTGTTTCTCAAAAATTCTAAGCTTATTTGAACATTAAGCCTTGCTCTAATGTTATATATTTCCCTGAAGTGTTCTTACCTTTCAACTTTATCACCAGATCTCAGTTTGAGTACCATATTCTCACAGGGGCTTCTGTTGTCAATCTAATGTCTGACTTGTTCACTTGCTATTGCTCTATCCTATTTTAATTCCCTAAGAACATTCTTTACTTTTTGTTTGTTTGCTTGCTTGTTGCTCACTTGTTCTCTCTTCTCACACAGGCATGCAATTCCATAAGAGCAAAACCTTTCCTCTCTTGTTCTCCTTGTATTTCCATTGGCCAGAAAGGCATATGATATATAACAGTTGCTCAAAAAATATCACTTGAAAGAATCGGTAAATTGATAATTTACTATTTATTTGTCATCTGTCTGAGACTCATGACTGGCATGATTCATTCTTTGTATCTTCAGTAACCCCATGATAGCAAGAAAATCTATATATGAAAAAATGCCGAAATAAATGTAAGATTCATTAACAATGCTCCCATCATTGGATCTCTCAAAAGTCCTAAATAGTAATCTTCAATTGCAAAGTAACCTAGTTTTATTGTACATGATTGAAAGAAAAAGAGAATTCAGAACTTGTAGAAAAGGTGACTCTATGACCTTCCCAGACCTGTAAGAGGGTGCACCTGAAGGTGATGCAAACCTCAGACACTGTGTCACCCCTGCCACCCCAGAGAAAGACAGGTGCTATAAAGCCCAGCCCAGCCACCCTAGCTATGCCCTTTCCAAATGGCTGATTGGAAAATCTTTGAGCGTAATAAAATTATTTTTGTTTTTTATGCCACTAAGTTGGCAGTGGTTTATCACACAACCATAGCATGGATGAAAGTCATTAGTAAAAGCATCTGTGTTTTGTGGATCAAGAGGGTATGTGGAGCTACAGGGTCCCCAGGTACCTAGACCATCTCAGACCAGGTGGGAACGAAAGCTGTTCGCAGACACTAATATCTCTATGTGGAATCCTTATGTTGTCCTCCTTCTAGAGATCATACAGTCTTGGGATTTATTCTGGCCATTGGATGACAGAAAGTACAGAACTCATACTCACTGCGGATGTGAATTAGCACAGGTCAGGCCCTGCCGTGGAAAAATTTTGAATACAGTATGAGAAAAAAGTCAATTGCATGGAGGCCAAAATGTTACATCAAACACAAAATAAGAAACTTAAATATAGTATATGATTTTAAATCAATTGTTATAAAATACTTTCAGCTTTAGAGAGTTTCTCAGGGAATGTCTGAAAGAGGGCTGTTACAAACACATCTAGAAAACTAACTAGTACATTTTCTAATGAATATTATCTATAGATGACATTACCAATTAAAAAAATACTTTATCCAGTGAGCTGTAACTTGTAGTCCTAGAAAAATGTATTCTTTGATGAAAAACAAAAAATCTTTCTGATTTTTTTTTTCACTTACGAAATAGATTCAAGAGGAGGAGGTGAGGACAAACCAATGAAATTCCTCATTGCCCACAGGAAACTTTCCCAAACCAACTTAGCCCAAGTTATCTGCTTGTCCATGTTTTCATTGTGAGGTCAGTGGCCTCCCCTGATATTTAGCAGGCATACACTTTCATTCCCTGCCTTTTGATATTTCCATCTTCTCCTCTACTGCACTGTCAATGCAAATTATTTAGCTCACTGCTCAATGCTGAGTTGACAGGATTGGTTCAGCTGTGGTAGTCTTGGTAGGAGTCCTGTGAGGGTCTCTGGTTATCCCAGAGTAAATGGGTAGAAAGTAATATATAATTCAAAATGTTAGGAAAGCATCATCACATAGGAGAGAGCTAGTTCCCAGGTGAGGGATTTCCGTTTGGCCAAATTGTAGCCACGTTAGAATTTAGTGGAGGTTCCTTGAAACAACATTGTAAGGATATGTGGAAATAGGGCATTTTTAAAATAAACAACAGCACATATTGGATGAAAAATGTATTAAATGGACAATTAAAATAGTTTCTTGACACCTCCCTGCTTCCACCCTGTTCACGGATTGTACACAGTCTATTCTGTACATAACAGAGTGATTTTTTAAAAATACATCAGATGATGCTAGCCATCTGCTCAGAACCTTCCTGCAGTTGCTATTTCATGAAGGATAAAGTACAAAGTCAATGGCCTACAAGGCTGAATACATCATGGCCTGGGCTTATTTCCTGCTGTATCTCCTAACACTCTGTTTTGTTTATCCCAGCCTGGCCACATTCGTGTTCTCTTCCTCAGGACCTTTGCATGTCCCATTCATGGTGCCTGGAGTATTCTTTTCCCCAGCACTCCCTGGAGCTCCCTCTATCCTTTCACTTAGGTTGCTTCTAATTTCTCACTTTTTTGGGCTGCAGGCTATGGCTCACGCCCAGCACTTTGGGAGGCCGAGGCAGGCGGATCACCTGAGGTCAGGAGTATCCAGACCAACCTGGCCAACACGGCGAAACCCCGTCTCTACTAAAAATACAAAAATTAGTCGGGCGTGGTGGCGGGTACGGGTAATTCCAGCTAATCAGGAGGCTGAGGCAGGAGAATGGCGTGAACCTGGGAGGCGGAAGTCGTAGTGGGTAGAGATTGCGCCACTGCACTCCAGCCTGAGCGACAGAGCCAGACTCCATCTCAAAAAAAAAAAAATTTTTTTGCTTTCTTAGATATTTCCTTTGACTTCCCTACATAAAACTCTCTCCAAGTATGTCAGTCACTCACTAGCCACACGCTATTTCATTTAGTTCACAGTATTTATCACTATGTGATATACATATGTGTATATATATGTATATATGTGTATATATATGTGTATATATGTATATATGTGTATATATGTATATATATGTATATATATGTGTATATATGTATATATATGTGTGTATATATGTATATATATGTGTATATATATATGTGTATATATTTATGTGTATATATATTTTCTTTTTATTATCTGTTTTTCTTATTAGGATTCAGGTTTCTTTAGGGCAGGTGTTTTGTTGGGTTCCCCACCTAACCTCCAGGTTGTAGTATGTAGTAAGTGTTCAATAAATACTTGTTGAATTATATTTACTATTGCATTATATAAATATTTGTTGAATTTGAATATCAAATGATATTGGACAAATTAAATGCAGTATTTACATGTACCCGAAAATTCACCTGTATATGCTCACCAAACAATTCTTAATTAGCTTAATTGGACCTGGAGTTATGAGTACTTTAGAGACCATTTAGCCCAATATCACCACATTAATGCACTAAGAACAGGGAAGTAAATAAGGTAATCACATCAATATTATCATTTAGTTGGTAAGCATAATACTATGTGTGTATAATACACATTTTTAGTAACTATAATATTCTTAATAATCTTTTTTTTTTTTTTTTGAGACGGAGTCTCGCTCTGTCACCCAGGCTGGAGTGCAGTGGCGCCATCTCGGCTCACTGCAAGCTCCACCTCCCAGGTTCACGCCATTCTCCTGCCTCAGCCTCCCGAGTAGCTGGGACTACAGGCGCCCGCCACCACACCCGGCTAATTTTTTGTATTTTTAGTAGAGATGGGGTTTCACCGTGTTAGCCAGGATTGTCTCGATCTCCTGACCTCGTGATCTGCCAGCCTCGGCCTCCCAAAGTGCTGGGATTACAGGCGTGAGCCACCGCGCCCAGCCAATAATCTTACAAATTTCTCATATTTACACTTATTGAGTGATGATGTGAAAACTTATCATCTGAGAGCTGAGTAAATAGAGGAACCTAGAATTAGAACTCAGGTCTGTCTGATTTTCGAGCATGTGTTCCTTCCATTCTACTGCCTAACCTCTTTCAGTTTCCCCCTAGTAATTTCACTTACCGGGAATTAGGTTGGTCTTGGTGCAGTCCTGTTTTATTACTGGTCTCTAGGAGTGGGCAGTGACCCTGGTTTTGAGTCCGGAACCCATTCTAATTGCTTTTTATTTTGACAGTCATTTGCCATCATAAGTTCTCAGTTCTTTTTTTTTTTTTCCTACTCTAAAGTAGTCATAATACTATCCATTTTATCTACCATCTTCAAAAGGCTCGAGTACATGTGAAATTATTTTGCTAATTTTTAATTGGGTTATGCAAATAAGAGGAATTCTTACAGCTGTCAATAACAAATATTTAGCAGCTTTCATAGACGGTTTCGATTATAGTAGTGCCAAGTTTTGCAGCTTGCTTCTATTATTGCTAATTCTTTCGGATTCCAACCTCACATTATCACATACATTTGTAGATATCAGACTCAAAACAAAGGCAAAGTTAAGAAAATCTAAAAGAATACACAATTTTCATATCTTCCAAATTTTCAAGACCATTCTCTGGCTAGGACTGACTCAAATGTGCTTTATAGTTTTGGAGACCCATTTTTTTTTTCCTGTGGGAAGAAATAATTTATCTAAGAATATACAGGGGGCGTATTTGGAAGATATTTTATGTTGCTGGATTTTGTAAGATTTGGGCTATGCTCTTATCTGAATACATGCATAATACCCGTTTGTTGAGCCCGTTTTGGTAAAATGACTGAGTTAGATAACATCAAGTTAAGAAATGGGTAAGGGGCCGGGCGCGGTGGCTCACGCCTGTAATCCCAGCACTTTGGGAGGCCGAGACGGGCCGATCATGAAGTCAGGAGATCGAGACCATCCTGGCTAACACAGTGAAACCCTGTCTCTACTAAATATCCAAAAAAATAGCCAGGCACGGTGGCCAGCACCTGTAGTACCAGCTACTCGGGAGGCTGAGGCAGGAGAATGGCGTGAACCCGGGAGGCGGAGCTTGCAGTGAGCCGAGATCGCACCACTGCACTCCAGCCTGGGCGACAGAGCAAGACTCCGTCTCAAAAACAAACAAACAAAAAAAGAAATGGGTAAGAAGAAGAGTCCTTATCTCAGTGTATAAGGTGGCTTTGGGGAAACTGTAATTGAAGTAATATGTTGAGATGATTTTTGGAGGTAACATTAAATATAAATTTACAGGAAGTCATGAGCTTTAGTCTGTCATTAGTCTCAAGAAGTTACCAAAGGCTAACTGCAATTCTGAAAATGTGAACCTTAAAAGGTAAATTTTTTAAATCTCTACTGAAGTTCTCCTACCAGAGTTTTATTTATAGTTCTCACTGACAGTGGAACTGACTGTTCAACTCTTTAAATCAGCAAAAGAACAAAATATAAGGAATTGTAACAATTGACACAGACAGGAAACGTCCAGGAATCTCCCCTCCATTATTACAACTCCCCCAAGAAGAGCTTCTCTTTTGGCCAAAGACTGACTTGGGCCATAGTATTAGGAGTTGGAGCTTTCAGATGAGTGATAAAAGGTTCAAAAGCTTCCTTTGTCTTGAGACTTTCTCCATTTTTCCTTTGTTTTTGGGTTGATGTCAACCTGCTCCTCTCTTTCATTTTCTGTCTTTGGGAATGCTTAGCTAAAAAGCTAGTGAAAATTAAAGTAAGGTTGAGAAAACACAAAGTTTGAAGGGTTATGTCAAAGTAGCTCTAAGAGTCTGGGGCCTATACCTCAGCAGGCAATAATGTATTCCAATATCTCCTTTCATACTTTTCCCAAGTAGAGGACTGTGAAGTCAAGCATAGAGAATGGTACTGCAATATTAAACAGATAATTTTGTATTTATGTTTCTACTTCACTCATTTTTGAGAAGATGGTTAATTAAAGTAAATATATAAATATTACCAATACCTAATATATACTATTCTTATCTTTTATAAAATGCTTCCTCATTTATTTTTTATAGCTGATATAGGCAAATCCTATGAGTTATGCTATTTTCATTTTACAGTTGAGAAGAATGTATTGAGAAAATTTAATAAACATGGCCAAGGTCAGTAAATTGAGCCCGGTCACAAATCTAGCTTTTAACTCCTTTATTTTGTATGCTTTGCTTCTTGGAGAAGTGAAAGGCCAACGTGGAAAATATACAAAAATGTCAAATATGATAGTTTATATTTAAAATAGAGAGTTGATAAAAATTACTTTTCTGGCAAACTGATAACTAATACCTTGGAAGACAACCCTGTATTTTAAACCAACCAACTATTAGAATTCCTAAAACAGAAATAAGTTTCCTTACATAGGCTCTGTCTCATAAAAAGGCTGATTGTGTTTTATTAATGAGGTTTCCTAGGTTAAGCTAATCATATTTATGTATTAAAATTTTCAAAGTTCTCAAATTGCCCACAAGTAATTTAAAACATCTGACTCAAATGACTGTAAGCAGTGCCAACATTCATTTATGAACTTGCATTATCATCTAGAATATAATGTTGCATAGAACTAATATAAATGTTGACTTTTTTCTTTTTAACCTTCCTTCTGAATGTCAAGCAGATGGTTTGATTTAGGTATCAATAAAGGCCCTTAAAGTGTGAGTGAACAATACCCTAAAGGGCTTCTAGTAACTGCTGCTTCAAAGCATAGAACATAATAAAAATAAATAAATAAAAATAATCAGTTTTATTAAAGAAGAAGGGATAGAGTGAAGAATCAGAAAATAAAAAAGAAAAATTTTATGATTTCAAGTTCTCCTGAGTAGACAATCTATTCCAGTTTTGCAGTTTATCAATTATAAATTTAAAACTCAATTAACAAATACTCTTTTTAAAGTTTAATCATGACACTGATGTCTGTACCTACCCCTTTGCTTTGAGACATTTTTAACTTCCTAGCAAAGAAGAGGTATCCAGAGTCCCACAGTTTTGCTAAATTAAGGAGCAAGAGATAAGAATTTATAGAAATTAAGAGTGTTAGAATTTATGGATCCCAGGAATGGAAAGGAGAAAATTATTCAGAGAAAGAATAAAAGAAATCTACAAAATGGTTTCCTTGGGTCTTTGATTGAAATTCCCCAAGGATGATCACAGCACAATTGCAGAAAACAAAAACAAAAAAAACATTGTATGGCAACATAAAGGTGAAAAATTTCTAGAGTTCACACAGAAAAGGGGATTGTTTCAGTTTCTAGCAGTCAGTGTGCAGAGACTTTATTGGATGCTTGTGCCCTCAGTAGAGGCCCAAGGAAAGCCTTAGAAGTGAAACTAAACTACCCTGGAGTAAGACTGCTCTCGACTTGCCCTAAGAAACTTTAGAAACAAGTCTCAGAGACTGCTAGAACACACACCAACACCCTCCGACTATTACAACCAACTATAACACTCAAAAATACAGAATTCCAAAAATCTGGAATTCAATAAAATATGATGCATATGCATGAGAAAACCCAGTCAGCTGAAACAGACCAAAATAACAGAGATGATGAAATTAACAAGTACTTTAAAACAGATAAAAAATAGGTCCAAGGATGTAAAGAAAATCCTAAGCAAATTGAGAAGAAAAATAAAATACATAAAAGGAGCAAATACAATTTCTAGATTTGAAAATATAATATCTAATATGAAAATTTTACTGGCCCGGCGCTGTGGCTCACGCCTGTAATCCCAGCACTTTGGGAGATGGAAGCGGGCAGATCACCTGAGGTAAGGAGTTCGAGACCAGCGTGGCCAACGTGGTGAAATCCCGTCTATACTAAAAATACAAAAATTAGCCGGGCGTGGTGGTGGGCGCCTGTAATCCCAATTACTCGGGAGGCTGAGGCAGGAGAATCACTTGAACCCAGGTGGCAGAGATTGCAGTGAGCCAAGATTGTGCCATTGCACTCCATCCTGGGCGACAGAATAAGACTCTGTCTCAAAAAAAAAAAAAGAAAGAAAAATTTACTGACAGTTTGAATAAGGTAATCACTGAAGAAGAGTAATTAATTTGAAAGCAAAGCAATACAAGTTAATAACTGAAGAACAACAGGAAAAGAATGAATGGGAGATAAGTGGAGCTTCAGTGACCTGGGAAATAATGTTAGATGGTCTCATATTTGAGCAATTTTGAGCCACAAGGGGAAAAAGGAAGCGCAGAAAACATTTTCAAGAATAATGGCTACAACATTTTTTAAAAAATGATAAAACTATAAATGCACACATACATAATGTTAAATAAAATGAAAAGAATAAACTCCAAAAAAGTCACAAAACACCCACTTCATATTAAAAATGTTTAAACAATAGAGATGAAGGTTAAAATCTGAAAAGCAGCCTGATTTTTAAAAGACAAATTATTTAGAGAGGAAGAAAATTGCAAATTTCCACAGATTTCTTGTCAAAAATTCTGCAAGCCAGAAGACAAAGACATATTTAAAGTGCTGGGGGAAGGGGGAAACTCTGCCAAACTAGAATTTCTCACCAGTGAAAACTTATACTAAAACTGAAGAAAAATGAGCATTTTTTTTCAGACACATGAATTCACTGTTGATAGACCCGCTATATTAAAAAAAATGTTAAAGATAGTTCAGGTAGAACATTGGAACTAAACAGGGAAATAACTACAGGAAAGAATGAGGAGCACTGGAAATGGCAAATATATGATAGAAATTAATTTTTTTAATCTTTTAATTAAAAAATTGACTTTTGTCCAGTTTTATTGAAGTGCAGTTGACAACTAAAAATTATATATATTTAAGGTTCACAATTTGGTGACTTGATGTATCTTTACGTTGGGAAATGTTTACCACAATCAAGCTAATTAACATATCTGTAATTTCATGTCTCACATAGTTACTATATTCTGTGCATGTTTGTGTGAATGTGTGTGTTATGAACACATAAGATGTACTGGCTTAGCAAATTTCAAATATACAATACAATATCGTTAACTGTAGTAATATTGTTTTACAATTAGATATCTAGAACTTCTTCATTTTGCAAAACCGAAACTTTGTACACCTCACCTTGACCAACATCTTTGTCCCACCTTGAAGCGACCATTTGTCCCTTCCTTCAGCTTCTGGTAACCGCCATTCTACTATGTTTCTATGAATTTAATTATTTTAGATTGCACATATAAGTGAGATCATGCAGTATTTGTCTTTCTACATTTATCTTATTTCACTTAGCATAATGTCTGCCAGCTCAGAAGACTTACCATAACATCTTCCACAAGGATTTATTGTGCAGATGGGATGATTTCCTTCATTTTTTAAAGGCCCATTAATCTTATTTCATGTGTCTGTGTGTGTGTGTGTGTGTGTGTGTGTGTGTGTATACACAATGGAATGCTAATATATATGCCCAGTTTTCTTCATATATTTATTTATCCATTGTTGAGCATTTAGGTTTTTTAATTTCTTGGCTACTATGAATAATACTAAAATGAACATGAGGATGTGGATGTCTCTTACATCTTGATCATATTTTCTTTGGAAATATACCCTAATTATAGTTGTTAGATTATAACGTGTTTCTATTTTAAATTTTTTTAGAAACTTCCATACTGTTTTGTATACTGGCTGAACCATTTTGAATGCCCAGCAATAGTGTACAAGGATTCCTCTTACTGCATATCCTTGCCAACACTTATCTTTCATCTTTCTGTTAGTAGCCACTCGAACAGGTGTGAATTGATATTTCATTGTGATTTTGATTTGCAGTTCCTTGATGATTAGTGATAGCGAGCACCTTTCATCTACCTGTTGGTCATAAATATTTCTTCTAAAAATTTCTATCTAGACATTTGCCTATTTTACAACCAGACTATTATTATCATTCTGTTGATATTTAGTTGTAGGAGTTCCTTACATATTTTGAATAGTAACCCCTTATGAGATATGTGGCTTGCAAATATTTTCTCTCATTCTGCAGGTTGACTCTCTTTATTTTTTCCTTTGATGCGCAGAAACTTTTTAGCTTGATCCAATCCAGTGTCCATTTTTGCCTTTGTTTCCTGAGTGTTTGGTGTACTATATAGAAATTATTGCCCAGATCAATGCTAGGAAATTTCTTCTTTATGTTTTTTCCCACAGATTTTACAGTTTCAGGTCTTACATTTATATCTTGAATTCATCTTGAATTCATTTTTGTATAAAATGTGAAATAAGCGTTTGATTTCGTTTTTACATGCAAATGTTTGTTTTCCCAGCACCACTTACTGACGACACTATTTTTTCCCATTGTGTTTTTTCCCTTCTAAAGTTTAACAAATAAAAATGGAAACATAGCATACCCAAATGTTAGTGATTCAGCAAAAGCAATATGAAGAGTAAAAGTTGTAGTGAGAAATGCCTCCTTAAAAAAAAATCTCAAATAAGCAATCTAACTTTATAGCTCACGGAACTAGAAAAAGAAGGACAAATGAAGCCTGAAGTGAGGATAAGGAAGGGAATTATAAATACTAGAGGAGAAGTAAATAAAATAAAGAATAAAGTGTTAAAAAAACAAGTAAATTAATAGTTTATTTAATAAACAAAATAAGTCAACACTTAGGCTAAATAAGAAAAAAACATAGAAGACTCAAATAAATAAAATTCTAAATAAAAGAAGCAAAGAGGAGGCATTACAATGTATCCCTTGAAAATAAAAAAGGATCATATGGGACTATTATGAAAAAAGAAAATATTTGAAGGTATAAAGCCTACTGGTAAACTTAAGAACACAGGAAAACCCAGAATACTCTAGTAGTATAATTGTGGCCTGCAATCTGCTCATAACTCTGGAAATAAGCCCACAAGACAAGTCTATCAAAAACAACAATAGCTACAGCAATCAGTTAAGAGATAGGCAATATACAAATACATAAAATTAGGCAACATAAAAAGTCTAAATGTGAGGGGATATGAGTTACAGTGCAGATTTTTTTCTTCAATTTGTCCATTGTTTTTATCCTTTTCTTGGTAATCTAAGTTTTCATTTCTTTAATATAATGTGTTATAGCTATAAGATGAATTTTATAAGCCTCATGGTAACAACAACGCAAAAACTATAGTAGATTCACTGAAAATAAAAAGCGACAAAATAAAATGTACTACCAGAGAAATCACCTAACCACAAAGGATGAATAATCGAGTAGAGAAGAGTTACAAACAACCAGAAAACAAGAAACAAAAAAGCAGTAGAAAGTCCTCATTTATTAATAATAACACTGAATATAAATTGACTCAGTTCTCTAATTAAAAGGCATAGAGTGGCCAAATAAAGAAACAGGATCCAACTATATGCTACCTATAAGGAGCTTATTTCACCTGTAGTGACACACAGAGACTGAAAATGCAGGGGTGAGAAAAAATGCTTTATGCAACTGGAAACCAAAAAAGAGAAGGAGTAGCTGTACTTATAACAGATAAAATGGGACACAAATCAAATACTGTAAAAAGAGACAAAGAATATCAGTATATTATAATAATAAAGGAGTCAATATTTGGTAGATAAGCTAAGAAAAAAAAAAGAGAGAAAACCAAAATAAATAACATCAGATTGAAAAAGGAGACACAGAAAACAAGACGACAAAAATACAAAGAATCACTAGAGACTATTAAAAACAACTGTATATCAACAAATTTGAAAACCTAGGAGAAATTTATGAAATCCTAAACACATACAACTTACCAAGATTAAACTGTAAAGAAATAGAAGACCTAAACAAACCTCAAAAATAATGAGTAACAAGATCAAAACTGTAATAAAATGTCTCCCAGCAAGGAAAAGCTCACAATCTAATGTCTTCACTGCTGAATTCTACTATATATTAAAATAACGAATACAAATTCAACTCAAACTCTTCAAGAAAACAATGAGGAGGAGGGAATACTTCCAAACTTGTTTTAGTAGGTCAGTATTACCCTGATACCAAAACCAAATAAGGATACAACAAAAAATGAAAACTACAAGTCAATATCACTGATTGAACATAGATGTAAATATCCTCAACAAAATACTATCAAACTGAATTCAACAAAACACTAAAAAAATCACTTACCATGATCAAATCGAATTCATCTTAGGGATGCAAGGATGGTGCATATGCAGACTAATAAACTTGATACATTATGGTAACAAAACCAATAACAAACCCATATGTTTATTTCAATAGATGCTGAAAAAGCATTCAATAAAATTCAACATCACTTAATGATAAAAATCCTCAACAAACAGGGTAGAGAAGGAACAAATCTCAAAATAATAAATAACATATTGACAAACTCGCAACTATACCAACATGTCAGGTGGGGTAAAATTGAAAGCCTTTCTTCTAAGATCTGGAACAAGACAAGGATGCTCACTTTCACCACTTTTATTTAACATATTACTAGAAGTCTGGCCAGAGCGATTAGAAAAGAGAAAGAAATAAAGAGCATCCAAATTGTAAAGGAAAAAGTCAAATTAGCCTTGTTTGGATGACATGATCTTATACTTAGAAAAAGCTCCAGCAAAAACTCTTAGAAATGATATAGAAATTCAATAAAGTTACAGAATTAAAAATCAACGTACAAAAATCAATACCATTTATATACATCAACAGCAAACAATCTGAAAAAGAAATCATAAAAACAATCTTATTTACAACAGCTACAAATAGTATAAAATACCTAGGGATCAATTTAATCAAAGAAGTGAAATGTCTGTACAAGCAAAACTATAAAACATCAACGAAAGAAATTAAGCAGGACATGCAAAAAATGATAAGATATTCTATGTTCATGAATTAGAAGAATTAATACAGTTATTATGATAACACAATTCAAAGCAACTTACAGATTCCATGAAATTTCTATCAAAATACCAATGACTTTCTTCACAGAAATAGGAAAAACAATTTTTAAATTTATATGGAAAAGAACCCATAATAGCCAAATCAGCATGGTACTGGACTAAGCACAGATACATAGGCCGCAGGAAAATAATAAAAAGTTCAGAAACAAATCCACAAACTTACAGCCAACTGATATTTGACAAAGGCATCACAAACATACAATAGAATGGAAATATCTCTTTAATAAATGGTACTGCGAAACTGGATAACTATATGCAGAAGACTGAAACTAGACTCTTATATCTCACTATATGCAAAAATCAAACCACAATGGATTAAATAACTTAATGTTACACCCCTATTTATGAAACTTCTAGAAGAAAACATAGGGGAAACACTTCAGGCCACTGGTCTAGGCAAAGATTTTATGGATAAACTGCAAAAGCACAGTCAACAAAAATAAATATAGGCAAATGAAATTATATCCCAAAAAATTTTGCACAGCAAAGGAAACAATCATCAGATGAAGAAACATCCTACAAAATGGGAGAAAATATTTGCAAACTATTCATCTGACAAGGGATTAATAACCAAAATATGTAAGGAACTCAGACAACTCAATAGCAAAACCCAAATAATTTGATAACTTAATGAAAAAATGATCTGAATAAATATTTTGCAAAAGAAGACATATAAATAGCTGATAGGTATATGAAAAATGCTCAACATCACTAATCATCAGAGAAATGTAAATCAAAACCACAATGAGATATCATCTCATCTCAGTTAAAATGGTTTCTATTAAAAAGACAGGAGCTAGCAGATGCTGGCGAGGATGTGATAAAAGGGGAACACTCATACACTTTTGGTGGAAATGTAAATTATTATGGCCACTGTGGAAAACTGTATGGAGCTTTCTTTAAATATTAAGAATAAAGCTACCATATGATCCAGCAATTCCACTATTACATAAGTATCTAAAAGGAACAAAATCAATATGTTGAAGAAATTATCTGCACTCCCATGTTTATTGCAGCACTATTCACAATAACCAAAATATGAAATCAGCCTACATGTTCATCAATGGGTGAATGCATAAAAAATATGTAATATATATATATACACACACATATATACAAAATATATATAAATATATATACATATATATGTATATATATATACAAAATATTATTCAGTCATAAAAAGAATGAAATCCTATCATTTTCAGCAATATAAAAGAACTAGAAGTTGTTATAAATAAACTAAGCAAAGAAAGAAACATTGCATGCTCTCACTCATATGTGGGAGCTAAAAAAGTGGATCTCATGAAGGTAGAGAGTAGACTGGTAGTTACTAGAGGTTAGAAAGATTGGGGGGAGACGCAGATGAAGAGAGGTTGTCTAATGGGTAAACAAATATAGTTTGACAGAAAAAATAAGACCTAGTATTGGATAAATCAGTAGGGTGACTATATTTTACAATAATCTATTGCATATTTTAGAATAGCTAGAAGAGAATAATTTGAAGGTTTCTAGCATAAAGAAAATACAAATATTTATAATTATATGAATGCATTCAATTATCACATGTATCCCCAAATATGTAACATCTATTATATGTCAATAAAAATGAGGTAAAATTTTAAGTTGCCAGCATATGTATCCATGTCACATACTGAAGACATATAATACCCAAAATTTCAAGTTATTTAAATTTAAGTACCTTTCATATTTACTTCTTATGACTAATTACCTCAATCAAGTAATACTACCAACAAAAAGCTACCTTTGCCAATGATGGTTTAGATTAGACCCTATTTTGGCATAACTATTCATTTTCACTATGGCCAGTTTCTTGGTATTTGGCTTTAATGAAGAATTACAGGTGAAATCCAACTCCATGACTTAGTAGATGTGGAAATTGAAACCTATGAGTAGAGTTAAGTAAACTAGTCAAGGTCACATAACTGAAAAATGGCAAATCAAGCTTTTCTTTGTCCAATATAGTATATTTTTATTATATCACATAAAATTATGAATCAACTATACGTATAGAAAGTAATACCATAAAAGCTAGTCTCTTTGCTTTAAGTGAACTGTGCACTGGTGTAGTGTTTTCAGTTTATACATAGAGTCATCATTAATGTTGCTGATTGTAACGATACTGCAGTGACACTGTTGAGGACATTGCTAATTACATAACAGTAGCAAAATGAAACCCTTAGAAAAACACATTTTCTATGTGTTGCTTTATAATGTGATAGATTGCATACAGTAAATATTTACATTCAATCCAATAAACACTAATTTTACATATAACACAGAGTCTCCCATAAAGAGGAAATTGCTCTTATCCTGCTTTACCTTCTCCTTCTTTGCCTCTCCTAATGTTAAGTAAAGTGGTAAACTAGAAGGTAAGTTTATTATCAAAGGATATATGGTTTTTAGCTTAATGTCAAGTAAGATCTTTGAATCAAAATACAATTTTTTGGTACATTTGGAGAGGCAAAATAAAATAGTTTGTTATATTACTTATAAAATTAGTTTTATTAACTTAATAAAATGTATAAATTATGAAAACAATGAAACAATTTAAAAAGCCCATAAATCATGAGATTCCATTACTTATAAGGACAGCTGTATGCCAAAAGTTTTAATCAGTTAACAAATGTTATGAACCTATAAAACTCACAGCACATAAAACTTGCTAAACTTAGATTTGACTACAGAATCTCTTTCAGAGAAAGCCTCACCAGGGACTGGTGTTTCCAGAAAAACACTTTGAGAAATACGTTATTAGATATCATTCAGAGGATTATAGCTATGCAAAGTAAGATTACAATCAATTTGTATTTGAACTCAATAACTAGATACAGAGACAAGATATATACACATTAAATAAAATAATATTAGACAATCATACAAAATATGTCAAGGCATTTATACTATATTTCATATAAATCATAAAATTAAAAATGCTAGGAGCTCAAAACTGAGAAAAAGTAGTCAAAGAAAATTTTGTGATAGTCTTAATAATAGTTTAGAAACTAAAATGATGAGCATTTTATTTTAGGCATTGTGTCTATAATTTTAGTACCTGTCATTGGGTGAATAAAAATCATACCAGCTTAATAAAATGCTTAAAAAAATTAGCTGGCCATGATGGCAAGCTCCTGTACTCCCAGCTATTCGGGAGGCTGAGGCAGGAGAATCACTTGAACCCAGGAGGCAGAGGTTGCAGGGAGCCGAGATTGTGCCATTGCACTCCAACCCAGGTGACAAGAGTGAAACTCTATCTCAAAATAATAATAATAACAATAATAATAATAAATAAAATGCTAAAGATTTGACATATTTTCTTTTTATTCTCCCACAACTCTATGATACATATGTTGTTTTCTCCATTTTATAAACTTAAGTCCCAGCAGTTAAAACATTCCTACCTATGTACTTAATACCACTGAACTACAAACTTGAAAATAGTTAAGACAGTAAATATGATGTGTATTTCCCCACAATAAAGAAATGAAAGGAACAAACAATGCTTTTTCAAGCAAAATCAATTACAATGCACTGTAGCTTTTATATAATATATAGAAGTAAAATAAATGTATCAATGACTCAAACAAGGTGAAAGAGGTTGTAATAATAGCGTTGTAAGTTTTTCTATTATGCCTGAAATCCTAAAGTTACATAATGTTATTTAAGTTAAACTATGATAAGACATAATATATTAAATGCTAGAAAAATATAAAATTATAGTTAATAAGATAATATACAAAATGAAATATAGATATATACTCAGCCCCAAAGAAAGCAATACGAGAAGGGTAAAGGAACAAAATGAGATTGGGCCCAAAAAATAAATAAATAAATAAATAATAATGGAAAGATGGTAAATTTATGCTCAATAAATAAGTAATGAAATAATTTAAGCTTTCTATTATAAAGCAGAGATTGTCAGACTGTATTATCCGTAAAATAATTCTACTTTATACATAAAGGTGTAGATAGATTATAAATGAAAATATGAAAATAAAACCACTATAGAAACACTAATCAAACTACATTGGGATGGCTATATTAAGATTAGAAGAAAATATATTTCAGAAAAGGAAATATCACCAATGATTAAAAGAACATTTTACAATGACAAAGTAAAGGTATAATCATTCTAACTCTACATGTACTTACTGACATAGATTTAAAATACTTGAAGCAAGAAATGATGCAAATAAAAGGAAAAAATAAGGAAACCCAGAATTATAGTTGAAGGTTTCAAGATTCCTTGACAGGACAATAGACAAAATCAATAACAATAGCAAAGACATAAGCCATAGTATCAATCAACTTAAAATAATTGACATTTATAAATATTTCACTTAACAACAAAGAATATACATTTTTACATGCATATAGAATATACAAAAATACAGATAACTTGTTGGTCTGTAAAACAAAATACATTTAACATAATTGGTATTATTTTCAGTATGTTCTCTGAATACACTTAAACTATCAGTTAGTAAGAGAAAGAAAATTCTGTAACATGAAATAAAACCATATATTTTAAACAACTCATGTTGAAAATAAATCACAAGGGAAATAAGAAAATAAGATCAGCTATAATAAATAAAAATGCAACAAAACAAAAATTGTTAAATGAAGCTAAAACAGTTCATTGAGATATATTTATAGCATTATAAATATTATTTAAGTGTTTTTTTTTTGAGACAGAGTCTCATTCTGTCACCCAGGCTAGAGTGCAGTGGTGCTATCTCGGCTCACTGCAACCTCTGTCTCCTGGATTCAGGCGATTTTCCTGCGTCAGCCTCCGTAGAAGCTGGGATTACAGGTGTGCACCACCATGCCCAGCTCATTTTTGTATTTTTAGTGGAGATGGGGTTTCACCGTGTTGGCCAGGCTGATCTTTAACTCCTGACCTCAGGTGATCCGCCCGACTTGGCCTCTCAAAGTGCTGGGATTACAGGCGTGAGCCACCACGACCGGCCCTATTTAATTTTGTATTTGTTGAAATTAAAGGGGCCAAGGGCAATTTTCTTACATGGATATAGTGCATAGTGGTGAAGTCCAGGCTTTAGCCTAATGTTATTTGAATAAAGTACACTGTACCCATTAAATAATTTTCCATCCCCTCCCACTCTTCCACCCTTCTGAGTCTCCAGTGTCTATTATTCCACTCTCTGTGTCCATGTGTACACATTATTTATCTCCTACTTACAAGTGTGAGAAAACATCTTATTTGACGTTCTGTTTTTGAGTTGTTACACTTAAGATAATGGCCTCCATTTCCATCCATATTGCAGCAAAATATATGTTTTTATTCTTTTTTATGGCTGAATAGTATTCCATTGTACACATATATACATGTATATCATTTTCTTTATACAGTCATACATTGATGGACATTTAGATTGATTCCCCATCTTGTTATTGTGGATTATGCTGTGATAAACATGCAAGTGCAGTTATTTTTATTTTTATTTTTTCTTCAGACGGAGTCTCACTCTGTCACCCAGGCTGGAGTGCAGTGATGCCACCTTGGCTCACTGCAACCTCCGCCTCCCGGGTTCAAGCGATTCTCCTACCTCAGCCTTCTGAGTAGCCGGGATTATTGGCGCGCCCCACCACGCCCGGCTAATCTTTTTATTTTTAGTAGAGACTTGGTTTCACCATGTTGGTCAGGCTGGTCTCATACTCCTGACCTCGTGATCCACCTGCTTCAGCCTCCCAAAGTGCTGGGATTACGGGCATAAGCTCCGCGCCCGGCCACAGTTATCTTCTTGATATAATGATTTCTTTTCCTTTGGATAGATACCCAGTGATGGGATTGCTGAATCAAATGGTGGTTCAATTTTTAGTTCTTTGAGAAATATTCACACTGTTTTCCACAGAGGTTGTACTATTTTACATTCCCAATGTTTACGATGTATAAACATTCTCTTTTCTCTGCACCCTCACCAACACGTATTACTTTTTGACCTTTGAAAAATGGCCAGTCTGACTGCTATAAGATGATATCTCATTGTGGTTTTAATTTGCATTTTTTCTTATGATTACTGATGTTAAGTATTTTTTCATATGCTTCTTGGCCATTAGTAAACGAGATAGCATAAAATATTACTCTTAGAAAGAGAGATGATACAGATAAAGATGGAGATAAAGATGTGTGGGTGGGGGGGACAGAGAGAGAGAGAGAGAATAGAGATATTGATCTCTAATAGATAGAGATGTGTGTGTGTGAGAGAAGCACAGGCAGAGAGAGGAGAGATTGGTCTGGATTAAGATCCTACACTCTCTACCTCTGCGTGATCTTATATAAATCAAATCCCCTCTCCGAGCATGTTTGCTTGTTAATGACAATGACCTCACATATTTATCAGGACAAATTAATGAAAATGTAATTATGCTTTGTAAAGTTCTAGGTACATGCAGATTATTACTATCATGAGCACGTATTGATCAGAACAGTAATTTTATAATGATAGGGAAGTATGCTGCTCATTTACGAGTTTGCTCACAGATCTATTTTTTGCCTTTCCTTTCTCCATTCCGCTCCATTCTGCTCTTCAGGGGACTGCTGACCCCTAAAACTTATTTTTTTCCAAATTTATTTGCCAGCTGCACTGGTATGGGACTAGAGATCAATAGGAATGAAGACCTTCACCACCCCCTGGCGTGCTTTCTTTCTTTCAAGTGGCTTCTCTAGAGTTGCTGCATCTCACCTGTGTGTACAGCATGGTCCAGCAGGTTCGCAGGTGAAGGCTGGGCTTTGACTGACACAGCCAGAGAATATATGGCCACAAGAAGACTAAGAAAAAATTTATTTTTCCAAAAATAAAGTAAACCCAGTAAGGCTTTTAACTGGAATTTTATTCTTGTTACATATTATTTTGTATTATTTTAAACGTATTATTTCTTTTTACATATTACTTTCAAATGTGATTTTAGTGCAGAGACTTTCAAAGAAAAATGCAAATATAATCAAAGCTTTCATATTATCTCCACCATTAATGTTTAAGCTTGAAAACTTTGCCTTCCCCAGTATGTTTTATTAAAATTATTATTATACAGAAAAATTATTTCCACTCTAGGTAATCCCCAACAGGCATGTTGTTTAGATGCTGAATTTATAATTTGTTTTAATCTCATCAAAGTTTGAAATGCGGTTCCCATTGTTTTTAATATCTTAAGCATATTATTCTGAAGCTTTATAAAATGCTTGGTTTTCACTTTTTCTTCTGTAAGCAATAATTCCACAGTTTTTAAAAAAAAAATGTTTTTGTGCCTAATGTAGTTTTGCCCTTCTGGAAAATAAAAAAAGCCAGAATGGCTCTTAATTTGGATTGTTTCTGAAAAAAAAAAGAAAAAACATAGCAAATGCAAATAAATTACTTTAAAATGCAAAGACACACTGGAAACTGTTAAAATATGAGATGCAACATGAAAATAAACAAAAACAACCTCTATATCAAATGGAACAGGATCTAAAACAATAGCAACCAATTCCAGTCTCCCCAATTAAAAGTTGGTGACTTTGAGTAATTCCTGAGTTTCTCTGCCTCTCTTTAGGTCACCTGTTCTTTATAGTGGTCAGTCTTGAGTCCCTCATAGAGTTGTTAATTACCTTATGAGATGAGCTGTACCTAAGCCAACGTTGGCTCACATAAGAGCTTAGAATCTATCAGTCTAATTTTCTTTCTTAACTAAAAACTTAAAGGCAACTTAATTGGTCTTTTCTTTACATTAATAAAGAAAAATTTTTGGTGTGACTTTTACACATTAATGTGGGTAATATGAAACAATTATAACATACTTAAACAGATGTAGAAATTAATGAGGACAGGCACAGTGGTGCATGCCTGTAATCCCAGTACTTTAGAAAGCAGAGGTGGGAGGGTTGCTTAAGTCCAGGAGTTTGAGACCAGCCTGGGCAATATAGCAAGACCCTATATCTACAAAATAATCATAAAATTAGCTGGGCATTGTGGTGTGTGCTTGTAGTCTCAGCTACTAGCTAGGCCAAGGTGGGAGGATTGCTTGAGATCAGGAAGTTGAATCTACAGTGAGCTGTAATTGCATCACTGTACTCCATCCTAGGTGAAAGAGGGAGACCCTGTATCAAAAAAAAAAAAGTGTAAGGAAATTAAACATGTTCACTACTGTAAGCCTTATCTAGCCTTTTATGTACTAATGGACACATCTGAAGAGACATAGGACATACAGTGTGTAATCTTCTTCAACATTACTTGATTTTGCTAAACCCAATTCTTTGCAGGATGGGTAAGAAACAATTCACTATACTACACTAACCTTTTTATCATCCTAGTAATGTAGTTACTTAGAATGTTATCACTTAAAAGGGACTCAGTATTTTCTAAAGAAATTATCATTCCATGGCATATAAAAATGAGACACGAATAAGGGAAAACTGCTTAATTAATTAGTTAATTTGTTCACTTTTTATATACTTACGTATAGCTACTGAGGATGGATGATATTTCAAGCACAGTATTAATCTGTCCAGAGAAAAAAGATGAATGATAAAGGCCTATACCAAGTTCTATATTACAGGAGAAAAATGATAAAATTTGCCCAGAGAAATCTTTAGGAAAAAAAGGGACACTTAAGTTTGACCTTTAAGAATAGAAAAAGTTTCCCAAATAATGAAAAATATCTTGGGCACAGGAAGAAGGCAGAGAAGCGTAGAAATAGGTTAAATATTTTGAGAATGGCAAGTTCTATGGATGATAAACAAAGGATTTAAAATATCCTTTACCCACTCGGTAACATTGAGAATATTGAAGCAAGAGAGAATTGCAGAAATAATTATAGAAAGAACATGCTGATAGCCAAATAGAAGACACAGTTAAAGAGAGAATCATGGGACACAACTATAATACAGGTTGAGTATCTCTTATCTGAAAAAGCTTAGGAACAGAACTGTTTTGGATTTTATATTTCTTTGAATGTTTGGAATGTTTGGATATATGTAATGAAATATCTTGGGGGTGGGACCCAAGTTTAAATACAAAACTTATTTATGTTTCAGATACACCTTATACACGTAGCTTGAAGGTAATTCTAAATAATATGTTTAATAATTTTGTTCATGAAACAAAGATTTGGCTGCATTTTGACTAAGACCTGTCACATGAGGTCAGATGTGGAATTTTCCACTTGTGTTGCCATGTCAGCACTCAAAAATTTTCGGATTGTGGAGCATTTTGGATTTCAGATTTGTGGATTAGACACTCAACCTATAGCATAAGGCAGAGATTAAACATACTTTAAATCTTTGCATATGTATATGGATATTGATATATGCCCAAAGTAGAGATAAGTAAGGGAGCAAACCCTCACTGAACTTTAAAACATGCTGGTGTCCACGCCCCTGTTAAGCATTTGAATCAGAATAGATTTAAATTGTATACCTTTCCCTCATAGTTCTCTATCACGTTTTGCTCTCTGTTTTAACAATCAAAGAATGACTATTTATTCAGTACCTTTTTCTTATCAGATTTTGTTAGCTGTTTGGAAATATGGCATAACCTAGGGATTTGTTATCTAGATGGAGAAAAGATATATATACAAAACATAATTAAAGCTAAGAAACAATATTTGGAACAGAACTAAATTTTCTTTTTAAAATTGTTTGTTCAGATATTCAATGAAGTATTGTGATCTGGGACTTTGGTTTGAACATCCTGATGGAGATGAGATGAAAAAGAACCTTGAAGGCTAAATAGACACAAGTAGCACAGCATATGTAACCCAATGTTACACTCCATGAGCTTTTGTCTCTTTATTTATAAAGAAGATAATACTTACCTTCCCTACAATACCTATAGCATAGCATACAGCATAGTGTTGCTATATTGCTTAAAATTAAATCTGGTAATTGACATACAAAGGGTTTTTAAAAGATCTTTTTACACAGATGTTATTTTGGGATATTTCTGATATTACAAGCAGAAAGGAAAGAGAAATTTGGGGAAAACAAATGGCAATTTGGGCATCAAAACTAAAGTATTTTCTTCTTAAATTTCTTCTTTCCTCTCTCCATATTCTCATTTTTGCATTTTTCTCTTACTTTCTTTTCTTCTTCTCACTCTCCTTTTTCTCTATTCATTGTGCACTATTTTATGCCAGGCCTGAAGTTAAGTGGTTCCTACCATTGAGAAGACCACAGAATGTGTACTAGAAAATAAAGCCAGTTGAACATATATAAGTACTTCAGTAGGGTAACTGAGGGAGAATTTACTTTTCCGAAGGGAGGATTTGAAAGACCTCAAACATGCTTTCTCCATGAGAACAAGAATATTTTCTTGGTCTGCAGGGGCATTTCCCACTACCAAGCAGGTGTTTGTGATTCTGTGGCTCTTAATCTGCTTGGCATCTTGAGAATGGGATAACAGGCAGAGCAGAGAGCCCTGCTGTTGGGGAATGACATGAAACTAACATGGGTTTACTACAGAGTTATAAAAGCTATTGGTACTGCAGGACTTTAGAATTCGCTGAATGCATTTTTTCATGTGTTTTTTGGCTGCATAAATGTCTTCTTTTGAGAAGTGTCTGTTCATATCCTTCGCCCACTTTTTGATGGGGTTGTTTGTTTTTTTTCTTGTAAATTTGTTGGAGTTCATTGTAGATTCTGGATATTAGCCCTTTGTCAGATGAGTAGATTGCAAAAATTTTCTCCCATTCTGTAGGTTGCCTGTTCACTCTGATGGTAGTTTCTTTTGCTGTGCAGAAGCTCTTTAGTTTAATTAGATCCCATTTGTCAATGTTGGCTTTTGTTGCCATTGCTTTTGGTGTTTTAGACATGAAGTCCTTGCCCAGGCCTATGTCCTGAATGGTATTGCCTAGGTTTTCTTCTAGGATTTTTATGGTTTTAGGTCTAACATGTAAGTCTTTAATCCATCTTGAATTAATTTTTGTATAAGATGTAAGGAAGGGATCCAGCTTCAGCTTTCTACATATGGCTAGCCAGTTTTCCCAGCACCGTTTATTAAATAGGGAATCCTTTCCCCATTGCTTGTTTTTCTCAGGTTTGTCAAAGATCAGATAGTTGTAGATATGCGGCATTATTTCTGAGGGCTCTGTTCTGTTCCACTGGTCTATACCTCTGGTTTGGTACCAGTACCATGCTGTTTTGGTTACTGTAGCCTTGCAGTATAGTTGGAAGTCAGGTAGCGTGATGCCTCCAGCTTTGAAAAAATGCTCATCATCACTGGCCATCAGAGAAATGCAAATCAAAACCACAATGAGATACCATCTCACACCAGTTAGAATGGCGATCATTAAAAAGTCAGGAAACAACAGGTGCTGGAGAGGATGTGGAGAAATAGGAACACTTTTACACTGTTAGTGGGACTGTAAACTAGTTCAACCATTGTGGAAGTCAGTGTGGCGATTCCTCAGGGATCTAGAACTAGAAATACCATTTGACCGAGCCATCTCATTACTGGGTATGTACCCAAAGGATTATAAACCATGCTGCTATAAAGACACATGCACACGTATGTTTATTGCGGCACTATTCACAATAGCAAAGACTTGGAACCAACCCAAATGTCCAACAATGATAGACTGGATTAAGAAAATGTGGCACATATACACCATGGAATACTATGCAGCCATAAAAAAGGATGAGTTCACGTCCTTTGTAGGGACATGGATGAAGCTGGAAACCATCATTCTCAGCAAACTATCACAAGGACAAAAAACCAAACACCACATGTTCTCACTCGTAGGTGGGAATTGAACAATGAGAACACATGGACACAGGAAGGGGAACATCACACACCGGGGTCTGTTGTGGGGTGGGGGGAGGGGGGAGGGATAGCATTAGGAGATATACCTAATGTTAAATGACGAGTTAATGGGTGCAGCACACCAACATGGCACATGTATACCTATGTAACAAACCTGCACGTTGTACACATGTACCCTAAAACTTAAAGTATAATAATAATAACATAAAATATATTTAAAAAAGAATTCGCTGAATGCTGTCTTCCTACCTATTGTTCCTAGGTTGCAAATGCCCAGGTATAACAACCTAGTTACAGTACTGATTACAGCGCATTCTCAGAGCCAACCATGTAAGACAGAGCGAATGTTGAATCTAGGGTGACTTGGCCTACTTACTGATAGAGTTGTTAAGTGTTTTGCACAAAGTCACAGGTGATAAAGGATCATATTTGCCACCCACTCCTCTCCTGGTTTACTTCCCTTGCAGCCAAGCTGTCCAACTAGAATATTGCCTTGTACAACCATCTTCATTAGAACATCCAATTTCCATACAAATTTGCAATAAAAATTTCAAAATATATTCTCTGTTTATATCTCATCTATAAACTGGGAACTGTGGTTGTTAATTCAGTCTTACAAAGGGTATTTTTAGTAAAAATCATTTTAGAATATGTTATTGGTACACACTCATCACACTTCTATCTGCGCCATCTGATTCCAACACTGGCAATCAGTGCGTCTTGAATGAAGGCAGGTTTTAAGTGTGGTAACACCTCCAAAATTAGCAGGGAGAAGAAACTCACAATATTCAGGAGGAATTTTCTCTTCACATGTCACTTTATATTTTTAGAGGTACATATTTCCTTTTTGACACAAACTAGACATCATGTTTCTTTATAATCCATATTGCATTATAAATGATTTAGCTGTTCTCAAAAGATACAAAAATATTCATTGCTTTGTTTTGGGGAAGGGTATTTAATCACATCTTATTTTGGGTATAGGAAAGGAGTGGATGAGTTTAAGAATTAATTTGTAATGATAACAGTAAGAACACACACAGCTTTAATATTCGAAGGAACATTTTATCATCTCGATTTCTAACTTCCAAATACTTATTATCTTCAAGCTTTTCTTTTCTCTTGATTTTTATGTTTTGAGACAGGGTCATGCTCTGTCATCTGGGCTAGAGTACAGTGGTGCCATCGTGGCTTACTGCAGCCTTGACCTCCGGGGCTTAAGCAATTCCCCGAACTCAGCTACCTGAGTAGCTGGGACAGGTGCATACCATCATGCCCAGATAATGTTTTTATTTTTTGTAGAGCCAGGGTTTCACCATGTTGCCCTGGTGGGTCTTCAACTCCTGGGCTCAAGCGATCCACCCTCCTTGGTCTCCCAAAGTGCTGGGATTACAGGCATAAGTGACCATGCCCGGCTAGTTCGTTTTTTGGTGTGTGTGTGTGTGTGTGTGTGTGTGTGTGTGTGTGTGTGTGTTTAATACAAGAGTAATATCATTTCAATTATAGTCTTTAAGAGAAGGAGGTGATCTTCCAGATTATGATTTAAAGCTCAGAAAGCTTAAATAACTGCTCAAGATCACACCATCAGTTTCTAAAGCCAATGACTCTCAATACAATGATGATTCTGTCCACGCTACATCAACAACTTTGCAATATATTTCAGAAAACTTTTTAATTCTTGGAAATCTCAAGTACCAAAATATTTCATCTTTCACAAACATGCCATTTCTGTTACAAACCACAGTGGTCTTACAATTATACATAGCTGTCACTAAGACAACTGTCTAGCAACAATGCTTAAGGGTGGTCAGGATCACTTGCCTGGAATGGGAAGATCAGTGTGTCTGTTTCTTCCTGTTCCTTTGTTGTTTTAATGCGACTAGACCCAGGTTTGTCTTAAGCCAAATTTGATTCCTGCAGGTCCCAATCCCTGGTTTGTAGGCTAATTTTAAGCAATGGATTTAAGGTCCTTAAATGAGTTGGCAGTTCTTTAGAGAAAATATTACATCCTCCACAAGTAAATAAATAATGAGCTTGAGACTTGATGCTTGCAGGGATTTTCTCGCATAATAAAATTGTTTTCGTCTCTGTGATTTTTATACAATGACATCTAGAAAACCCTAGATGACAATTCTAAGAAAAAAGCATAGTTAATAATAGAGTACAAATTAACCAAAGTTCACATTCAGTTGGGAACATATTTTAAATAAATAAAAAAAATTTATTGAAGCATTTAAACCTTTACATAAATGCTTCAATTACCTTCCCCATTGGTATTTATACCTGCAGTGACTGGCTCATCCATTCACACTGAGTAAGCATTCAATGGATTGTTGTGGTTTTCAGCTATTATGTATTTTTGTCATGTATCCATTTGTTCAGTTAGCAAGTATTGAATGTTTACTGTGTGTCAGATCCCTTGCTAATCTGAGAAACAAACGAATAAAGTAATCTTAGCCTTTTTAGCACTCAGATATTATTGAAAGAAACAGAAACCTAAGCAGATACAACTCAGTATAATTTAGCAAATACAGTAACAAAATTATTCACGGAATGTGTTTAAAGAGCTAACATGAGGATGCAAAATCTGGAGTAAAGGAAGAGTTTAAAGAGGTCACCTATCTTAAGACCCTTGAAAAATGAGTTTATTTGATTGGGTGTAGAGAGATGATGGACAAGGAAATACATCTGAGGCAAATACTCTTCAAAGAGTGGTATTGAATTAGTGCAAGGAGAAAAAAGTCAAGAAGGGAAGTTGAAGAGAAAAGTAGGTATCAGATCATGAAAAGCCACCTAAGACAAGATAAAGAGTGTGTGTGTGTATGTGTGTGTGTGTGTGTGTTTGTGTGGTATGTATGTGTGTGTTTGTGTGTCTGTGTGTGTGTATATATGTGCGTGTGTATACATATGTGTGCATATATTTAATTTGCAGAAGTGAGTGCAAAATCAAACTTTTTATAAGAAAGACAAATGTGGTACCACTTTGCAGAATACCTAGGAAGTGATAATACTGGAAGCAGGTAGGTCAGTTTGGAAAAATTTTAATGTAGGTTATATATCATAAACTGATGACTAACCTAATATGCACCAAGGAAAAGTTGAAAGCTGTCCTTCTAAGATCTGGAACAAGACAAGGAAGTCTCCTCTTGCTATTTCTGTTAAACACATTCTGGAAGTCTTAGAGCAATTAGGCAAGAGGAAAATAAAAGGCATCCAAATTGGAAAGGAAAAAGTTGAATTTAACTGTCTGAAGACCACATTATCTTAAATATAGACAGTCCACTCCACCAAAAAACTATACAAAGCAATACACGAATACAGTCAAGTTATAGGATACAAATTCAAGATACAAAAGTCAGCAGCATTTCTATGTGTTAACAGCAAACGATCTGAAAAACAAAGAAAATTATTTCATTTAAAATAGCTATGAAAAATGCTTTAAAATAAATTCAACCATGAAATGAAACACTGTATACTGAAAACTATAAAACATCAATGAAATAAATTGAGGAAGATGGATTGGATGTGGTGGGTCACACCTGTTATCCCAGCATTTTGTGAGACTGAGGCGGACAGATGACTTGAAGCCAGGAGGTCAAGACCAGCCTAGCCAACATGGCAAACCCCCATCTCTACTAAAAATACAAAAAGTTAGCTGGGCGTGGTGGTGCACGCCTGTAATCACAGCTACTTGGGATGCTGAAGCGTAAGAATGGCTTGAACCCTGGAGGTGGAGGTTGCAGTGAGCAGAGATCATGCCATTGCAATACAGCCTGGGCTACAGAGCAAGACTCTGTCAAAAAAAAAAAAAAAAAGAAAGAAAAAGAAAGAAAGAGAGAAAGGGAGAAAAGAAAACATCTTGAGGAAGATGAAATAAATGGGAATATATCTCATGTTCATGGTTTGGAAGAATTAATGTAATTAAAATTTCTATACTATGCAAGTGATATACACATTTGATAATATTCTATCAAAATTTAGATAGCATTTTTAATAGAAAGAATAAACAATTCTAAAGTTCATTTGGAATCACAAAATTATACCAATTAGCCAAAGCAATCTTGAACATAAAAAATAAAGTTGGAGGCATTACACTACCTCACTTTAAAATATACTGCAAAACTGTCTAAAACACCAAAAGCAATGGCAACAAAAGCCAAAATTGACAAATGGGATCTAATTACACTAACGAGCTTCTGCACAGCAAAAGAAACTACCATCAGAGTGAACAGGCAACCTACATAATGGGAGAAAATTTTTGCAACCCACTCATCTGACAAAGGGCTAATATCTAGAATCTACAATGAACTCAAACAAATTTAGAAGAAAAAAACAAACAACCCCATCAAAAAGTGGGCGAAGGATATGAACAGACACTTCTCAAAAGAAGACATTTATGCAGCCAAAAGACACATGAAAAAATGCTCATCATCACTGGCCATCACAGAAATGCAAATCAAAACCACAATGAGATACCATCTCACACCAGTTAGAATGGCAATCATTAAAAAGTCAGGAAACAACAGATGCTGGAGAGGATGTGGAGAAATAGGAACACTTTTACACTGTTGGTGGGACTGTAAACTAGTTCAACCATTGTGGAATTCAGTGTGGCGATTCCTCAGGGATCTAGAACTAGAAATACCATTTGACCCAGCCATCCCATTACTGGGTATATACCCAAAGGACTATAAATCATGCTGCTATAAAGACACATGCACACGTATGTTTATTGCGGCACTATTCACAATAGCAAAGACTTGGAACCAACCCAAATGTCCAACAATGATAGACTGGATTAAGAAAATGTGGCACATATACACCATGGAATACTATGCAGCCATAAAAAATGATGAGTTCATGTCCTTTGTAGGGACATGGATGAAACTGGAAATCATCATTCTCAGTAAACTATCGCAAGGACAAAAACCCAAACACCGCATGTTCTCACTCATAGGTGGGAATTGAACGATGAGAACACATGGGCACAGGAAGGGGAACATCACACTCTGGGGACTGTTGTGGGGTTGGGGGAGGGTGGAGGGATAGCATTAGGAGATATACCTAATGCGAAATGACGAGTTAATGGGTGTGGCACACCAGCTTGGCACATGTATACATATGTAACTATCCTGCACATTGTGCACATGTAACCTAAAACTTAAAGTATAATAATAATAAAATAAAATAAAATAAAAATTAATCAACATAATAAAAAAAAAACTATAGTAACCAAAGCAAAACAACATGGTAATGGCATTAAAACAGACACATAAACTAATGGAACAGGATAGAGAGTTCAGAAATAAATCCACAAATTGGCAGCCAATTGATTTTCAACAAAAGAACCAAGAACACACTATTAGAAAAAGATATTCTATTTTAGAAAAAGATATTCTATTTAATAAATTATGTTAGTAAAACTGGATATACACATACAAAAGAATGAAATTAACCCCTATCTCACACCTTAACTAAAAATGGATTAAAAATTTAAATATAAGACCAAATTTTATGAAACTTCTAGAACAAAATATAGGAAAAAATCTCTATGATATTGGTCTGGGCAGTTATTTTATCTTTTTTTTTTGATATGACTCCATTATTGAATGCATATTCTTATCCACAAAGTCTTCAGGCCACTTACTTTTCATGGTTTCTAACTGAAAGAGTTCCATCTTTCTGATGTCACAAGTCTTATTCTTTGTGCAATTTCACTTAAAGTAACTCCATGAATAAGCTTTTTCTTTTGTATATCTGAGATCTTTGTCAAGATGCTTCTTCAAATGAATGTATTTCTTTCTAGGATGATATAAATCTTCTTTATGCCTGCACTTTTTGCTCCCTAATTATATCTGTAGTTCACCTGAAATAATTACTTGGCTTTTCAGCAGTTTGAAACCCTCAGGAGGTAGGAGTTGGCCTGTGTATGCAGTCCACTTTGTCAGCTCCTGCTGCCATAGCTCCCTGCCTAAGGCAGTCACTTGTGCAGCACTTAGTCAATGCCAAACCCATTTTGTCCTTAGAGTGATCTCTTTAGATCAGCCATTCTAGTTTGTGAGCCAGGTTGTCTTATGCCTTTACTTTAATGTTTTCCAAGAGGACTGATCCAAGTGATCACATTAGGAAGTATGAGGGGACAATTTTCATGAAGACTGTGGGGTGTGAGAGGAGTTACCAGTTGTGTCTACGGACCTCCAGGAGCTGGGTGCCGGCTCTGCAGCCGCCTAGATGCCAGCGCTTAGATGAGCATGTATCCTTTCTTGCCTCCATTTCCACATTCATTAATGGAGATAATAAAATCTCTGAAGAGCCCAATGTCATGTTGTTTTCATTCAGTTTTTATCTTCAATAAAGTGGAAAGACCATATATATATATGTGTGTGTGTGTGTGTGTGTGCATATATACATATACATATACATATTTAAATGTATATATGTATATGTGTGTGTAACCTCAAAAATTTACAATGTAAACTAAATTCATATGCATGAATAAATGTGTATTTATATTTATATATAAATTTGGCACAGCACATAGCACAGGATAGCCATTTTAATTATAATTATATTAATAGTAGTGATTTTCATGTTATACTGGCATTTAAATGACATATTTAAATGCCATTAAGACAGAAAGAGATGTCTGTTAATTCTGGTTATTATTAATGATTTTCACTGTTCCAAAAATGCACACTTCAAACTGATTTTTAAAATTAGTTATATTGCCAGGGAATTTTATCACCATACCTCGCTCCTAAGAGCACTAGGACCAAGGGGTCATGCGGAGTGACAGTGGTGCTGCAACTTGACATCCAGACCACGCATTTCCAAATATAAATAGTGCAGAAAATTCTGTTGCTTTTTGGCCACATTTTGCTGTTGCACCTTTTCCTTGGAAAGGTTTTTGAATGTATTGCACATATTTATGTTTTTAAATGTGCAAAGGTAATCCAAAAGGATGGGGAGTTTATAAAATGAAGTGCCCAAATGGCAATCCCTTTTTTTCTGGCTTCTTGGTAGGTGGATGCACAGGTGGAAGGAGAAACATGACCACTTAGACCCTTGAAGAAGAGCATGACATGTGAAATCAGGTGCATGTGAAATCAGGTACTGCACCATTTCTCGTGTGAAAGCTCTAGGTTGGCAGCATATTAGCTGCAAATTATAATTAATCTCTTATGAATAGTTGGCCATGAAGTTAGTCCATTTGTAACACGTATTTGATGCCTCTACCCTTTTTAAAAGTAGTTAAAATTCAACTCAGTAGCCTCACAAGTAAAATTTGTAGAACTAGTTTCCACTGGCTTTGTAGTGACCTGGAAATTCTAAACCAAATAAAGCAAAGTGGAGCATGAAGAATGGGTCTGACATGTTGATATGAATTTTCAGTTCTAGCAAATTTAAGCAAAGTCTTAAAAAATACTTTCCATGAAGTAATTCTACAAGCCTTTTAACTGCATGACAGTGAGAAACACTTAGAAAATACATCTCTCAAAAAATAAAACAAATATGGATATTTATTTTGCCTGTTTGAGTCATTAGCACAAAAGGCAGCTATGTTGGAATCTGACAAGGAAACAATTATTCACAGCAGAACAAGGGAAAAAAAGCACTATTTATAAACACATAGAATACATGTTATATAAATAGATGTAAGCAGTCAAGTATCTTCGCTTCAAAAGGTACACGTGCAAATATATATTTGTGTGTCTTAAAATTTCATGTACAGTTACAAAAGAACAGCGAACACAGCCATGAACTCCAAATCCATCTGCACCTCCTTGGAGCTGCAGGGCTCTTGAGCAGTGACTGACAGTTCCTGTCAAGATTATCCTACTTAGGACAGAGAGCACAATATGCAAACTAGATGAAAAGGAAGTGCAAGCTGAAGACGATAGCACATAAAGACCTGATGAAGAAGAGAGAGAAGAAACAGAGAACAACCTGAGGGGGAAGATACATTTTCATAAAGGAGGTCTTGACATGTCACAAAAGCGTAATGGTCAGCAGATCCTTCATCTGTTGCTCCCTCTGGAAGGTTAGCCAACAGGAAAGCCAACACTCCACCACGCTGGACCCCAGTGATACCAGTGATCCCCAGTGATCTATACTGGGGCAACTGGCTTTGCCTTCTAATCCTATCATTATGTGCAGAAGCAATACATGAATACGTATTTCTAGCCTATTGGGCTGTTTTGAAATATAGGTGGGCTACCTTTGTTTTCAGTCAAAACTCACATTTGTATTTTTACATGTTATGCTTAGAAATCGCAGTGAGCAGGCTGGGCGTGGTGGCTCACGCCTATAATCCCAGCACTTTGGGAGGCCGAGGCGGGCGGATCACGAGGTCAGGAGATCGAGACCATCCTGGCTAACACGGTGACACCCTGTCTCTACTAAAAATGCAAAAAAAAAAAAAAAAAAAAAAAATTAGCCGGACGTGGTGGCGGGTGCCTGTAGTCCCAGCTACTCGGCAGGCTGAGGCAGGAGAATGGCGTGAACCTGGGAGGCAGAGCTTGCAGTGAGCTGAGATTGCGCCACTGTACTCCAGCCTGGGCGACAGAGGGAGACTCTGTCTCAAAAAAAAAAAAAAGAAAGAAAGAAATCTTAGTGAGCAAAGGGCTGGTGGGATTCATACCACAGTCTGGACTACCTGATCTTGATTCTATATGATTAAGTCAGGTATGGAAACTAGAGGTCTTCATCTTTTGGGGGTGGCGGGGTGGATAGCCACTTATCAGGAATCAGGACCAGAGGAGAGCATTTCCTTCTCCTCCTGTCTTCCCAGGAAAGAGCATTTTACAAATCCGTTACCAGTAATTCCTCTTCTACAACTAGTCTATTCTCCCAAATACGTACAATAATCTAACACAGTAGCCCAATTTTTGTGTTTGTAAAACATTATAATAATAATTATAGCCGATAAAAAGACCCAGCAAGAAACTTCTGTCTCAGTATGTTTAAGAGTTCTCCAACATTCAGAGCAATTAAAAGCTGGAAATGATTTGGTTGGACAGATATCACCACTACATAATTAAAGGTATTTGTGAAGAAGCCTGATTGGCAGGAGTTAATTAATTAATTAGGAAAATATTATCTTCATTGTTCTTATTTCTATTAGCATTCTGAATTATTCTAACTACACTGTTAATGTTAACCCTTGCAAAAAACTTTTTTTCAGCTGTTTGAACTGAGTGTAATGACTTTTCTCCAGTCTCCATTCCATTCATGCAATCCCAGGGAGCCCTCCCACCTATATGGTGACAGGTGAACACAATTAGGCTGAAAGATGTGCTTGTCATCTTCTGAAGATTAGAGCAGATGAATTTAGATGACAAGCTCCCATGTGTTTTTGACAATAAAAGTATACCATGTTCTTGTCGGTTGACAGCTCTTCCCATTTCTAGCCTGAACTCCATGGAACATTCTCTCACCTACTTGGTTTCTGTTCCTCTCTTCGATAGCACCTTTCCCATTGTCTCTCTCTTCTCTAGCTCTGGATAGACTCTCTGCTCTTAAATTCAGGAAACTGGATACACTGTAAAGATATCCAATAAAGCATTTGAAATTTGGCTATGAACAAAAGTCTCTAGGGAAGTTTTTCTAAAGAAGAAATGAGCTAATGCCATCTGCTTATGCCCTCACGGCGACTACTCTGACATCCCAAGATGCTTCCCTGTGGCACCTTTTCTCTTCCTGAAGTTAGAATTTTGTCTGAGTCTTTATCTTATTGACCTGGGAACTGAAATCTAAGTTTCCAAGCTCTTCTTACCTTTCCTATCACTAAAGTCATAAGCCAGAAAGAGGCCTGATGGTCCACCAGATGGTCCTCAATATTTGGGGTGAGACTCTACATTAAAGCATTCCCATGACATTGCTATAACTTCCCCTTGTTCAATTGTATAACTTCCACTTGTAAAGATAATCTCATCAATTTTTTCTTTCCTAAACTTTGCTCAGTACCATGCCTCAGTGCATTCGTGACTCTTCGTTCCAGCTTCCCAATCTTCAAACTATGTTTTATGTGAGTGCATTTCCATATCGTACATTCAGAAAAAAATATTTAAATTGCCTTGGACTGTCAGAAAAATTAAATATTGATTTTTCTACTTATCTGTTAACCTTCTATTAGAAAATGTGCCCCCAAAATAACAGCTGACCATTAACTTTGTAATGTCTTTCATTACAAAAACCTTTGGTCTGGGTGAATTCAAATAGGAGATTAAGTTTAATGTCATTATAGTAGAATGAATCTCTTATTTCAATATTGGTCTCATTTTCAAAATGGTCAGTGGTTTTATCTATGAACACTTTAGAAAAATTCTCCTAGTTTCATGAGAAAGACTAAAGAACTTATGTTTATTCTTAGTTTTATCAACAGTATGGATTTAATATGAGAGGCTGATTTAATGAGAACGTCCCCAAAACTGAGAGTAAAAGAGCCTAAGAAACACAGATATGGATATATCTAATAAAATGAAAGATAAAAGCATTGATGCATTCTGATCGTCTAGTATTGTAAAAAAAAAATACTTTAAGGGGCACATTTATTTATTTTTGAAAAATACATATATTAGAACTTCAGACACATTAAAGTAAACTTACAAAGGCCAGTGAGTAAATGCATTAGGTGGCATTACTAGATTACATTATTAGATTTGTATATCTAGCTATTATTTAATTTATATTCTTATTAATTCCATTACATAGTATTGTGGAGATAAACTCTGAAATACTAAATCCATAAGAGGTTATTCAAAATAAATTCTATTAATAAATATACTTTTGAGGAAAGTTTTTTGATTAGTAAATATTCTTTTAATTTTTATCTAAACATACAATTAGATATTATAAATTAGAAAATATCTTTTAAAATAAGAAACAAAGTTCAGGTGGTAATTGTGCATAAGGGAGAAAGGATGTTGCTGTTCACCTATCAGAATACTTACAAAAATATTAGAAATTATAGTAGCAAAGGCTTTTATTTCAGTGTATTTAATATGATAAAACTTAACTTTAACAGAAAATAAAGAAAATTGTTATGTATTTTAAATAAGGCAGATATATTAGCTATATAAGTCTCTCAACTTTATATATAAACAAGAGCTGTGTATAAGATTATGTGAAATACAGAACATGCAAGTTCTCAAGGTCACTGGAGTAATTCAGTGCTATATGGGATTTGTCTTTTTAAGAAGGCATTTTACAGCTCCTAAGAGCCTCAGAGCTCACTAATCCCAACTTTGAATGCTCTCATTTCACTTGTTTTCAGACATAATAATAGACTCTAAGTTGGAAATAGGCTGTTTACAGTAAAATATCAATACAAAAGTGTACCAATGTGTTGTAAATTATGAATGTATTGTACAGGCATAAATTGCTTTAAGTTTTGATAAGGAACATAATGTAAAGCAGTATTTGTATATGGTTATCCAAAAAGAAGTCATTTTATGGAAAGGAAGAGAAGTTATTTTCTAAACAAAGGTCAATTATGAGTCTATTCTTCTTTGGTTAGGCAATAAATATACCTGTCACTCCTTTGCCTGAATAAAAAGCTGCTCTGAGTCGAAGTTAGTTTTAGTCATTTTTATCTGATTTCCCATCTTGGTTGGCAGACGTTGAAGAAAGCTAAATCAAGACTTTGGGAAGAATTTCCAACTTCTTATTACCAATAAATTTCTTCATTCTTATTTCCTCCAACTCTGCTTTCCTTTATATATACCATACTTGTAAGGCTCTCTGTATAGCAAACATCTGTGGGGAGCTAATGGCATGCTGTTATGGAATTAGTCTGGCCTTTAAAATGTGTTGGAGGTGAACTTGACTTCTCGCTTGAACTTTTGATGGCTTGGTGACTTTAATCAATTTAATTAATCTAATGAATCTTCAGATCCATCCACTGCTGCTTTGTAAGCTTATGGTGAGAAATGTAGTAGAGGAAATGATGGTCTCAAAATTAGATAGGAGATGGCTGCTATAGTGAGCTGCCAACTTTTATTGTTTGCTTTCCTCCTTTAAATTTACATATTTAAGCAAACCTAAAATTCTATTTAGTATATTTCTAGTGTTAATGGTAATTTTATTCCATTCCGGAAACAGCAAAGAAGTTGCATATATTAATTACATCTGGTTGTCTTACCACAGAAAAACCTTCCTATTTCAGTTGTTTGTAAATTATTGTTACAAATGTTTCAAATACAAATTTTTTATAAATACAAGTTTTGCTAGTAGTAGTTAAAAAACTCCTATACATATATAATGTTCACTCACATGCCAGGTTCAAGGTAAGCCTTCAGGAAGTGCATGGCCATTTTCTCGCTACCTTTAACAAATCTATAGAACCTAAATTGGAGACTCATATCCTAGACGAAATGACATCTTTTAGTGCATGTAGTACATATATGTAGTCTCTTTGCTGGTTATCTGAGCTTTGTATTTTCCTCAGAATCTAAGTATGAGAAGAGTTCTGACCACCTTCATTTTCACCCTACTCTCTTCAGAAAGGACAGTAAATGAAAAAGGAAGAAAAAGGGAAAAAAGCAGGCAAACAGAAACAAAAAAAAGAAGAAAGGTGTTATTCTCTTGATGTAGAAAGTAGAAGAAAAAATGAAAACAGCCTCAGAGACCCTCTGTTATTACTGCATTTAATTCCAAAGAGAGATTGGTATTTGCTTTGAAAACATACTTATTTTACTTACAGGTATTAATGATGCAGAAGTCATAGCATCAAAATATATTAAAATTATTGGATTCTGTATAAATATTAACCAAATTATACTGCTATGACAACCAAAAATATAGCATTGCCTAATGTATCTTAATATTATTGCTTATATAATGCTGAAGTATTCATCTGGTTTTATACTACAACATATAACAGCATTTTAGATAAGTGCACAGCTATCCTTTAGTGTCAATTATTAGATATTATATTTGATTGAGAATTCAACTTTTATTTCATGCATTAAGTAAACTCTAATAAAATACATACAAAATTTATATTCCATAAACTACAAAACACTGATGGAAAAAAATCAAAGGTACTTAAATTGCTAGACATATTATATTTATATTCATGATTGGTAGATATAGTAATTATGCCAATTCTCCCCAACATGATCTATAGACATAATGCAAAATAATCAAGACTTTTTTTTAGATAGAAGCAAGCTGATTCTAAAATTTGTATATGTGGTAGGCTAAAAAATGGTCCCTCAGCAAATATCCACAGCCTAATTTCTGGAATGTAGAAATGTTACCATATGTAGAAAAAAAATGGAGGAATGTCATCCTACAAATGAAATTAAATTAAGAATTTTGAGATGGAGAGATTATTCTGGATTACCCAGGTGGTTCCTAAATGCAATCATAGGTGTCCTGATAAATGGGAACAAACAGATATTTGACACTGACCTACAGAGAAAAAGATGATGTCAGAGAGATTTGATGGTGTTGGCCTTCAACATGGCAGTGATACAGCCAACCAAAGAAGGACAGCATCCACCAGCAGCTGGAGGAAGGGAAGAGTTGATTCTCCTCTACAGCCCTGGATGGAGTATAACCCTGCCCACAACTTGATTTTGGACAACAATTCTGATTTCAGATTTCTGGCTTCCAGAATTGTAGAATAAATTTAAGCTATTTTAAGCCACTCAATTTGTGATATTTTGTATGACAGTCCCAGAAAACTAATAGAATATATAAATGCAAAGGAACTGGATAGCCAACACAAGTATGAAAAAGAAGAAAAATGTTGTATGTTTAATAACTTCTCTTCTTTAAATAACATTGCTAAAATAGGAGCTATTATGAAAAAATATTTACAAAACACATACTTGACACAGCACTTGTATCCAGATTGTGTGAAAAACTTTCAAAACTAAATAATGAGAAGATAACCCCTTTGAATGGTAAAAATATATAAATAGACAGTCTACCAAAGAATTATGTAGATTTTGTATAAGCACAGCAAAAACATGCTCAATTTCTCAGGGTTGTGACATAAATTAGTCTTGATTCTAGTTTATGAAAAATATCTTCTTGCTTCATTTTTATTATATAATAATGCTATTTGATATGGAATAATTATCCATTATAAGATCATTAGGCATCATAACTATGATGAGATATCAGACCCAAACCATAGTACAGCTAAAATACTGACAGTACTAAGTGGAGATGAGGATACAGAGAAACTGAATCTCTCATTCACTGGTTCTCGGAATGGGAAATAATACAACCACGTTAGAAAGTGTTTGGATAGATTCTAATAAAGTTAAACATGTACCATAAAACTCAGTCCCACTTATATATATTTATGCAAGAGAATGAAAAATATATGTCCATAAAAAGATCTCTACGTGAATATTGACAGGGGCTTTAGTTAGTGTCACACAAACACCCCCCAACCCCTACTACACACACACACACACACACACACACACCACGAACTGGAAACTATCTTCATATCTATCATGGTTTGAAGGAAGTAATTCAACGCCTCCATACTTACTTGGCAATGAAAAGAGGTTTATTACTGACACATGTACAACATTAATTTTCAAGACCTGGATACTAAGTGAAAGAAGCCAGAAACAAAATATAAAAAATGACAAACTCTGTGATTCAATGTATATGGAATTCTGGAATAGGCATAACTGTTAGGATCAAAATCAGTTTAGCTATACTCAGGGAATGGGAGATGATGTAATGGTTGTCTATAAAGGAACAAAAGGGAAGTTTTTGAGGTACTAATAAAAATACTCAATTTCTTGATTGTGAGGGTGTTTTCATTGCTATATACATTTGTCACAATTCATAGAACTAACCCTAAAAGAATGCATTTTTGTGTATGTAAATCTTATAAACCTGACAAAAAATACCTTGAAATTCACACAAATATTTACATAATAAGGGACAAATACCGGGTTTTAAAAGATGTGTACATTAATAGGTGTATTCATGTGTTTGATGTCTATCTGACTGACAGTAATATATTTTCTATTTGTAAACACAAACAAGGTAGAGAAAAAGTGCCTTATTTTAGGCAATATGCTAAGCTGGTATTTGGCAGCAGTACCACACAAAGTTGGCATGCCTTTGCCTAGGCATTTCACATTGTGAATATTTAGTACCTTAGTTGTTATTGATGTTTTCTTAATACCTAAATTATTTCATGGCATAAACTGAATGTATATTTGAAAGAAGACTTCATCTTCTAAGAATTCTAGTTGCCTCCTGATCCCAATCCACTAGGATTTATTGAGGTTTAGTAACTTGGACAACATCATAGAACTTCAAATAGGTGGTACAAGGAATCAAACTAACTACTTTGCTCTTAAGTCTGGAGCTGTTATGATTATGTCAGGACTTCCTCTTGCCTATATTGTATGGTCTGATGTTGGCTGTCTGTAGTAAGTTGATTTAGGATGACTGGGGCTAAAATTTCTCAGGCTTGTGACACAAATAAGTCTCAATTCTAGTTTATGAACAATATCTTCTTGCTTAATTTTTATTATATAATAATGCTAATTGATATGGAATAATTATCAATTATAATGAAGCTCAAAGAAAAATGCAGCTCATATCCCACTCTCCAAAAGTTCATTTATTAATGATTTGGAGTTCATTTGTTCGTACTCTTAAATTTGTATGTTTTTAGAAATTGGAAGTTTATTAAAGCTGTTTATTACTATTTTTATTGAACAATTACCATGACCTTACTTTCCACGTTAATAAATATGGATTTTTAAAATAAATTTAGGGGGTACAAGTGCAGATTTGTTACATGGACATATTTCAGAAGTCTGGGTTTTTGACAATACATGCTTGCCAAATGTAGTGTGTCCATGAGGAAATGTATGATTCCATAAATATTTTCAGAGGGCAGATAGATTTTTCCTTAACATCATAAACAATTCAATGAACAACTAGAATTCAAAATAGTAATAAATCACATATGCTAGAATAAAAAACAATGAAGTACAATGTAAATGACATATCTGTGGAAAGCTAGAATAAAACATAATGAAGTACAATGTAAATGACATATCTGTGGAAAGCTAGAATAAAACATAATGAAGTACAATGTAAATGACATATCTGTGGAAAACTGATGGAAGAAATCAAATACCTAAATTATAAGAGAGATGCTCCATACTCATATGTTAGAAGGCTCAGCATTATTTAAACTTCACTTTTTTACAACTTGAGGTGTTTGTTGAATGTAATCCCCATTAAAGTCCAATTTATGTTGTAGTTATCAATAAACTGAATCTAAAATTAAATGGAGCAACAAGAACTTAAAAATATTTGACATAATATTGAAGAAGAACCAAGCAAAAGGATTCACATGATCTTATTTTAAGATTTGCTGTAAAACTATTGTAATCAAGACAGCATAGTGTTGCAGAAATAATACATACACAAATAATGAACACATAAATGGACCAGAATAGACAGCCCAGAAATAGACCCACACAAATATAGTCAACTATCTTAGACCAAGAACCAAGGCAATTCAATGGAAAAATGAGAATCTTTTTAACAAATGAAGATGGAATGATTGGAGGTCTGCTTGCTTAAGAATGCAAAAAAAAAAACACTCTCAAACCAGACATCATAGATTTCTCAAAATTGCCTCAAAATGAATCATCTTACAGTGGAAAAATACTACTACCTAATCTACATTATCGAGATCAATATCAATAGCGATAAATCATGTTGATAATACATATGTATCTAATAACAATCTAAATCATGAGGAAAACATCAGACAAATCCAAATTTAGATAAATTGTACAAAATACTTGACTTGGCACTCTTCAAAACCATCAGGTTCATGTAAACAAGGAAATATAGGAAACTCTTACAGCTAAGGAACTCCTAAGGACATGATGACTAAATGTAATATGGTATATTGGATGGAATCCTGTAAGAAAAAGAAAAATTAGATAAAACCCAAGAGAATCTGAATAAAGTATGGATTTCAGTTAATAATAATGTATCAATATTTGTTCCTTAATTGAGACAAATATACCATACCAATGCGAGATGTTAAGCCTTGCAACAGATGTTAGGAAAGCAGATGTCAAATGTATGCAAACCCTTTACAATATCTTCACAATTTTCTTGCAAATCTAATAGCATCCCCAAATAAAATAAGTAATGCAAAACAAGGCAGGAATGAAACAATAAAGGAATAAGGCACACATGGCACAAATAGAAAACAAATAGTAAAATATGAGAATAAAACTGACTCAATCTTTAATTACATTTAATTTAAATTACATCTTGGCTTAATCCATACCATTCTTCTAAAACTGTTTTTGTCTGTATTTTGCAATTGTCAACTAAAATTGTCATCTAAGAATCCAGTGGGCTATTCTGTGTTTATATTATTGAGTGTGTTTTAACAATATTTGACTGAGTTGACCTTCTTCTCCTTGAAAAACACATCTTTATTAATTTTTGTAACTCTGCTTTCTTTTTTATTATTATTATTATACTTTAAGTTTTAGGGTACATGTGCACAATGTGCAGGTTAGTTACATATGTATACATGTGCCATGCTGGTGTGCTGCACCCATTAACTCGTCATTTAGCATTAGGTATATCTCCTAATGCTATCCCTCCCCCCCTCCCCCCACCCCACAACAGTCCCCAGAGTGTGATGTTCCCCTTCCTGTGTCCATGTGTTCTCATTGTTCAATTCCCATCTATGAGTGAGAACACGTGGTGTTTGGTTTTTTGTCCTTGGCGATAGTTTACTGAGAATGATGATTTCCAATTTCATCCATGTCCCTGCAAAGGACATGAACTCATCATTTTTTATGGCTGCATAGTATTCCATGGTGTATATGTGCCACATTTTCTTAATCCAGTCTATCATTGTTGGACATTTGGGTTGGTTCCAAGTCTCTGCTATTGTGAATAGTGCCGCAATAAACATACATGTGCATGTGTCTTTATAGCAGCATGATTTCTAGTCCTTTGGGTATATACCCAGTAATGGGATGGCTGGGTCAAATGGTATTTCTAGTTCTAGATCCCTGAGGAATCGCCACACTGACTTCCTATTTAGGGATCATTTTCCTTTTTTATTACTCCTTTACCCACGGTGCAATTATTGAATAGTCCAGGCTGGCCTGAGCTTTATCCTCTTCTTACAAGATAATGTCCATTCCTATAACTTTCAATGTCATGCAAAATATACTCAAATTTATGCCACAAATGCACATTTCAGCTCTGAGCTAACTTATCTAGTTGTTTAGTTGATATCTCCATTTGAATGTCATCCACATATTTCTGGCTTCACATAGATAAAATCGACATTCTTATCCACTCCATTAGTCCTCAATCATGTTATTCCCTCAGATTCTTCTATCTTGGTAAATACAATCAACATTAATTCAGCTATGCCAGGCAGAAATCTAGATGTTATTCTTAATCCCTCTTTCTTTTTTTACTTTTCATTTACAACTTATAAATAAGTCTTTAATTTTGCCAGACACACAAAAAAAGCTCACACCATTTTCTTTTTGTTTCTGCACTAATATCATGCTAAATCAAGTCACTGTCATCCTCCCATGGACCACCACAGTAACCTCTTAACTGTTCCAATTTTTTCCACTTTTGTTCACATCATCTTAATTATTTAAAGACAAGCCAAAAGTATCTCTTTAAATATAAATCAGATTATGTTAATCTCCTGCTTAAATCCCTTCATTGACTTCCCATTCATTCAAATAAAGTTCAAACTTGACAAGGCCCTATATTATCTAGATAATTCTGTATTATCATATATCTACTTTTTTTCTTCCTACTGTTCCTCTTTCATTCACTTATTTTCCCACAAAATAAATATTAACTACAGGGCCTTGGAATTCATCAGTACACCAAATAGATGGTCATAGTTTTCTTTTCGTACCTTACTTACATTATAGAGAGACAAAAGGCACAACAAAAGAACAAGAAAAACACAAGTATACTATAGGCAGAATTGCTTTTCCTGATAGTGCCAACTCCCCTTCCTCCTTACAAGAAAAAAGCCCCAATAATTAATATAAAAAATATTATTATTCAGTTACCTTTAAAAATTTTGTCTAAACATTAAAAACTGTCTTACTGCCCACCTTAAATGTGTAGGAAAATAAAAAGTATAAAATGTAACACCTAGTATGCTATAAAATATTAAAAACATTGAGAATTAATGTGTTTTGCTTTTTAAAAAACTTACCAGAATTAGTTTTGAACAGTGTTCTTTTCTTCAAGTTGTATAATTTACAAAATGGAGTGAACATGTTTCTACACCTTGAAAAATTACCATGTTTCTTTCTAAGTTTGCATCATTTTCCATCAAGCTATCCTTTGTGTTTTCCATAATGTGAAGTGTCTCTGAAATTCCTTTAATGCAAAGTTTCAACTTTTTTTTCTTTTCCTGGCACCACTTCCTTTGGGACATCTTTATTCTTTTTGTCATAGCCACTTTTCTCACTTATGCCAATAAATTTGCCTTCACTAGATTCCTCTCGCTGTGTGTTTAGGGTCCCTGAAACAACTCAGTATCAATATTTCCATGGTCAGCTATTTCTTCTACAAATCTGTTTTATTCTATTTCAATGTCACTGATTTTGTGATTTATGCAATGAAGAGGTAGTGGTGAAGTTTTTATTTACGTAATTATTCTCAGTGACTATCCCATGAAAACTGAAATTTGGTCAATGTAGTTGGGGGACTCCTGCTATCTAACTAAACTGTAGTAAGAAAAATCCATGCATATGAGAGCCACACGAAGTGAAGCCTATCTTATTATAATGCTATTAGTCTATGAGTACTAGGAAGAAAACAGTGGAGCAAAGCAAGAAGAAAGGAAGAAAAGAGGTGCTACTTTTGATAGAGAATCAAGCAATTTCTTTGTTAGCAGGTGACATTTGAGTGAAGCGTGGTTATTCTGGAAAAGCGCATTTAATTATATTTAATCATCCTGCCTTCTATGAACTTCCTTGGCGTTTCCAAGCCTTTTTTCTACTGGTGAGGATTCGTGCTTATTTTGTCTTTGAAAGAATTCTTTTTCAGCTGATTTCTTCTCACCTGCAATTTTTGGAGAAATGACATTTAAGTCCAAAGAGTGTGATTCTAGGACTAGTTTTGTTGTTGTGGTCGTGGTGTTTTGTTTTGTTTTGTTTTGTTTGAGACAGAGTCTCTGTTGCCCAGGCTAGAGTGCAGTGGCGCGATCTCGGCTCACTGCAAGCTCCACCTCCCGGGTTCACGCCATTCTGCCTCAGCCTCCGGAGGAGCTGGGATTACAGGCGCCTGCCACCATGCCCGGCTAATTTTTTTTTTTTTTTTTTTTTTTTTTTTTTTTTTTTTTGTATTTTTAGTAGAGACGGGGTTTCCCCGTGTTAGCCAGGACGGTCTAGATCTCCTGACCTCGGGATCCGCCCGCCTCGGCCTCCCAAAGTGCTGGGATTACAGGCGTGAGCCACCGTGCCTGGCCGATTCTAGGACTATTAAGTCTTGGATATAATATTTGTATCAAACATATCACTAAAGTGTGTAATATGTGCATAAATAATAAAAGTACATTAAGTCAACAAATCCGTGTAACACCACAAATGAAGTAGGAAATTATCAGCACCCCAGAGGCTGTCTTCAATCCCCACCTATACTACTCCTTTCTGTCAAAAGAAAACCACCACCTTGACTTCTAACATCATAGTGTAGTTTTGGATTTTTAAATTTTCTATGTGGTAAATTGCATAGAATGTTTTTCTTCTAGAAGATTTCTTTTATTCATTCTATACTGTTGTGTGCATTAATAGTTTGTTCATCTCCATGGCTGTAGAATATTCCATCATATATATATTCCACAATCTATTCATTCCACTCCCTATTGATTGATATGTGAGTTGAGACTATTATCATTAATAGTGTTAGAAACATCCTTTTACACACTTTTGGAATATATATACACTCATTGTGGGGAGTATATATGTAGGACTAAAGTTTCTGGATGAATTATATGTATGTGGACATGCAAAATGGTAGACAACACCAACATTTCAAAGTGGTACAAATATACACTCTCAACAGTAGTATATTACACTTTCAAAGGTTCTCCATCCTCACAATCACATGATATTGCCAGACTATTTTTAATTTTAGAAAATTTGATGGATATGTAGTGGTATTTTATTGTAGTTTTAATTTACATTTTCTTGTTGACTAATACGATTAAGCATCTTCTTGTATACTTATTGGCAATTTGATGTTACTTCTTTGTGTGACATGAGGGGATGTTTTTGTTTAAATTTTGGTTGGACTCTTTTCTTTATTATATTTTAAAAATTCTCTAAATATTCTGAATATGAGTTTTCACGTGTTATAAATATTATAAATATATTTCACAAAGTTTTCTTTCACCCTCTTAAGGTTGTTTTTTGGTAAATAAAATCTTTTAATGTTAACATAGTCCAGTCAACCAGTATTTTTCTCTATGATTAGCATTCTTTGTAGCTGAGAAATCTTTGCCTACCCAAATATCATTAATTTCCATTATAAGTCCCATAAGTTTCTTGGTTTACCTTTCACAGTTAAAATAAATAATCACCTTTCCCTGTGTTTCTGAAAAGCTCTCCGTATGTTATCTTTCTGAGTTAAAGTGGCCGAAGAGTTGTTTATGAGATTTGGAAGGTGTAAATAGAGTATCAGTCATCACGCTCAGAGAAACATAATTCATTAGAGATAGTAAGAAAGGGACAAAGATCCTCTGCCTGGCCCCTGTATGTTTGCTCCATTGGCTACATATCGAGCTCTCTGTCTGAGGGCTGATATTCCTAAGCAGGTGTCTCCAGGCCCGCCCTGATTTTTCACCCTGAACGTCAGCCACAAAGAGCCATTCCATCAGCTCCCCGTGATGATGCTGACCTGGTGGCTGGAACTGCCTATCTTCCAGATTTCTCTGTCATCTCCAACTCGTTCATATGAGGGAATGAATTTTCTATGGCCCTTCAATTCTCCTTTCATACCTAACTTCCCCACTTCCTCCTACGTAGTGAGAGGTTTATAGTAGTTTAGCTTTCCTAATCTGAGACTGGTAAACCAAAAAAGTGATTTTTATGTGCAGTTTCAAACTGGGATTACTGTTGTGCACAACCATGCCCAGCTCATTGTTTTATTTTACTTTTGTAGAAGCACGGTATCTCTATGTTGCCCTGGCTGGTCTTGTACTCCTGGCCTTAATGACTCTCCCTTCTCAGCCTCCCAAAGTGCTGGGATTACAAGTGTGAGCTACGACACCCATCCTATTTTAACTTTAATTTTTATTTTTAAAAATTGTTTATTTTTTAAAGGAACAAATATATATCATTAAAAAAAAGAAACTAGCCATTAAGTTATTAAAAGAAAAAATCCTCTCAGTTCGAGTCATATATTCTTGGTGACCTCTCCCTTTACTATCCTAACAAGGAAACTAAGCTCTCTATTTTTTCCTGAAGCTCTTGATGAAAGAAAAACTTCAGCCAAATTAAATTTAAAGGAGCTTAATTGAGCAATGAACGATTCATGAATCGGCAACCCCCAGAATCACAGCAGATTCACAGAGACTCCAGCGCAGCCACATGGTGGAAGAAGATTTATAGACAAAACAAAAAGCGGGGGAGGAAATGACAAACAGAAATTGGAAGTGAGGTACAGAATGGCTGGATTGGTTACAGCTCAGTGTATGCCTTATTTGGACACAGTTTGAACATTCAGCAGTGTATGAATGGTTGAAGTATGGCCGCTGGGATTGGCCAAGGCTTAGCTGTTGCTACAGGTGCATACAGGTTAGGTTTTCAATTTTGTCTGCCTATTAAGCTAGGTTTACAGTTCATCCACAAGGACTCAAAAATAGGAGTACGGAATCCTTCTCAGGCCATATTTAGTTTGCTTTAACAATTCCCCACTTTTGGTCATTTTCTCAATTTTCAGAGATTGACCAAAACCTTAGTCATTGATGTCACTAACTCCATCGCAAATGTACTTACATGGTCTTGAAACCCACTGGGACTCAGTAGAACAGTGGGTTTTGTAAGGAGGGAAAAAGGACTAAGTAGAGGATATCTCTTCATGCTGGAATGTTCTGTTTATGGGAGAAAACCAAAACCTGATCTGTCCCAGAATCTATGTGTTTCCTTAAAGTCTTAGTTTGATTATGTCACATTTAGCACAAGTGACTCCATTTTGTTTGGTTTGATCTGTTGGAGCCTAGGGTATGAACTCAGTCCAAAACAATGGCCTCCCAGAATTTTGTTTTTAAAAAATCCTTCCTTTTCGGCAAGGGTCATACTTAGGTGAGAATGTGACCTTAGGGCCTTAGCGCTACCCTGAGTTACCATCATTTTGGGTTTCCAGTCTCAGCATGTCATTCATATGTTATGGTGTCCTCATGGTCACAAATTTCTTTTAGCTTTTGTCATTCCAGTTGAAGAGAGACCATTTGACATTTTAGAGAGGGCTGCATGCAAACATTTAAAACCTTTGAGAGAATACAGCATGCAAGGGAGACTATTATTATGACTATGGGGAGGAAAATACCAAGAGTTTGGAGTATGCTCCTTACACAGGGCCCCCGTAAACCAAACCACCCAAAAATAAATAGATTAAAGAATGAGCTGGATGAAGAGTTTACTCGCTTGACTAAGTAGTGTTTTCATTAATCACCTACAACTGAATTTTTATAATTTACATTTGATGTATTTCTTCATAGGCCACAAGGGCCAGCGGCTGTTCAGGTACTTTTCTGTTTAGCTAATTCTATTATTCAGCATAACTTTCACGAGGGAATTTAAAGTCTGTTGTATAACCGTAGGCTTTATAGTAGAATTTGCTATAGAGCCTATTATGAGGGATTCATTTCTAATTATTGTCTCTTTTATTCTAAACGATGGAAAAAGGACCTAACAAATGATGTCCATCTAGAAGAGTGAAGGCCACCTGGCAATGTTCTCTTTAACCCATGATGTGGGTTAAGAGGAGTTTTGACTGATTATGAGGCAACATAAGTACCACTAAAGTTTCTCACTTACATTGGGCCTTCATCTTTTATCTATTAAAGTATAAGTTCATTCATGTTTAAGGCTGGCTGCAAATTCCTTTACAAATAAAAGTGTGTCCCATAAGTGTTCCATTTCTATTGTTCGTAGGGGAATAAGGAAGAAAAAAATATTCAAAGTTAAGAGGTCTCATAGTAATAGAAAAGTCTTGATCCGTGATCTTGGGAAAAGCTGTTCACATCAAGGATGCCATCTTCTCCTGGGGAAGTTTTACCTTCCCTGGTTAGTTTTAGCTTAAGGTTCCAATGGGTGTAGAGTTCCAAGAGTGTGGAGGGACCCTTCTTCGTTGTGAGATTATGAACCCAAAGTTCAAGTTTCCAAAGTTGTGCTGCAATGTGGATGGTGAGGACAGTCTCTCTCTGACGTTCTCAGAAGATACGATCTTCAGCTTCCAGACTGTGAAGGGGTTGTCCTCAGTAAACCATAGAAAGCTTTATTTACCTGGTGAAAATACACTGTAGCATAATAATCTACTGTTACAACATCAGCCCTCTTGCATAGGAGAGCTTTTATACAACCAGAAAACATGCAATGAAAATGAAAATCGAATGAAATCCCTTTATAAATGTTTAAATGGCCCATTCAGTAGCCAAATGTACCTGAAGCTTTGATTGTCTTCCCAGGAATATGGAATCAAACGTTGCTTTTAGACTATTTCTGCAATGTATAAGTCACTACATCAATATATTTAATTTGGATTATTTTATCTTTTCCATGATGACTCATGGAATGCAGACCTTTAATAACAAAAGCTTTAAGAACTCAAGAAGGACAAGGTGGCCGCCCTGGTTCTCCATGAGTCCATACTTAACATCGGACTTACGTCCTCTTGAGCGACAGTTGTTTCTCCAATTTAGGTGCATAGCACTAATAACTGATGTATTATCATAGGTAATTTGACTTAGACCTTGGAGTTTAATCAAATTGTATATCTAAACAATTTTAGTATTGGCTAATTTAACATGATAATCTGGCAAAGTATTTTCTTGGTACATAATTAATTTTGTTTCTCTTGGGTTAGCAGTTTTATAAACCAGTCAGTATTCTTATTAAAATTTCAGGAATTCTTACCCAGTCCAATTCTAGAGGAATTGGGGAATTCATGGGGAATTCTTACCCATAATAGGATAAGAGTGCTTTTCAGGTTCCTTTACATCCTTTCATGAACGTTCTTTGTTTATCTTTTGTTTTTTTGTTTTGTTTGTTTGTTTTTGTCCCAGATGGAGCATCGCTCTGTCACCCAGGCTGGAGTACAGTGGCGCGATCTCAGCTCGCTGCAACCTCTGCCTCCCGGGTTCAAGCGATTCTCCTGCCTCAGCCCCCCAAGTAGCTGGGACTACAGGCGCCCGCCACTGTGCTCGGCTAATTTTTGTATTTTTAGTAGAGATGGGTTTTCACCATGTTGGCCAGGCTGGTCTCGAACTCCTGACCTCGTGATCTGCCCACCTTGGCCTCCCAAAGTGCTGGGATTACAGGCATGAGCCCAGCCTCGTGAACCTTTTAAAAGACGCCATATTCTAGGATTTTGTTTGCTTGTGAAGTTTTCAGAAACTGCATCAGCATTAAGCAATTAACTGTGGAAATCACTTTAAATAATTATAGTTAAAAACACAATAAACTAGGAAATTTGATTATTTCTATGGTCTAAAATAACTTAACATAATAAAATAATTATAGTTAAAAACACAATAAACTAGGAAATTTGATTATTTCTATGGTCTAAAATAACTTAACATAATAATCTTACTTATGACCGATAGCACATACTCAGACATATTAGAATTTTAGAAATCTCATATAATTTGGAACATATATTAATATCATTCACTAAAATATAACCTGAATATTGAACATTATTTTTATTTTGACAATGCTTCTCACGATTTTTATACCAAATAAGCCAATGTCACTGTTGCATTAGTGCATTATTGATGTTAAACCCAATTCTTAATGAAACATTACAGACGAATGTATTCAATCTTAATCAGTTTGACCATAAGGTAAGAATTTTATAAACCTTTTATAACTCCTTACAATTTTTGTTAAAGAACAGAATAGTGCTTTAAGAAAATCTGCTGTGCTTTTATTTCAATGCTCAATTTACAGAGAAACCAAATAATACCCCCTTAAATTAGTCAATATTTTCACACATAGAATTTTTTACAAGGTTAATTTTTATAAATTCTTCCACAACTTGTTTAAACTTTAGCTTTATTTAATTTAATACAATCCTTTAACCTTTTAATCTAGGCAGAAAAAAAAATTCACATTCCCATGATTTCTTATAATGTTTACCAAAAACACATTTCACTTTTCTTACACACCTTGCATGTAAAACCGTTTCTTCGGTAGTCTCGATTACATGTTACAATGCTAACTTTTAGCAACTTTTGGTGAAAACCTTGGGAAGTTCAGAATTTTAACTGTGTACTAGTGTGGAGCCTAGGACCCAGACACAAATGCAGATTAGGTCTGACCCTTTCCGGCATCTCACTCCACGTGTCTCAGGCCTTACCTAACTTTGTAAAGCAGGCACATTGTACAGTTAAGAGTCACAGTGGCATTTTATGAAGCATTTAGGAGGCCTAATCACCTTTAAGTTATTCAACATTTTTTGCATAAATTTCCTTTCATAAATTCTTTCTTGACTATACAGATCATCTAAGACACTCTTGGACTTTCTGACTTGCCCTAAATATCCCTCTTTTTAAACAATCAGTCATTTTACTTTAGGACAAGAATTAACCATACAAGATTCTTTCTTATGTACAATTTCTTTCTTTCTAGCCTTCTTTGTATAGCTAGGGGACATGGCTAATTCCACATGTCCCCAGGTCTTATCTAGAATCTAATGGCTCTGTGAGACCAGATGTCTAAATTTTGAAGACTTTTTAAAAATGTTACCAACAGTTTTTAAAACTATCTTTATTTGCAAAAAATTGCTAGCGTCACGTGAACTGAAAGGCATTCGGGTTTTTTTTTTGACAAAATAATTTGATTTAAGTGCTTATTTTTATTTAAGCCAATTAGAGCTCGTTTATATAAACATTACACGCAACACATATGTATAATTACACAGACAGATGGAAGATTAGTACAGTAGTTGTAAGAGTTTTCATTTGCCAATTTTTAAGTTTCCTAATTGGTTATTGGTTTTAGGGTGGAGTCCTTGGAATAACAGGGGCAGGGAAAGTTCTCTGGTGCCTCTTGTTTTTCCCAAGGAGTACAGGCTGTTAGAGCTTGAATATCCACTTTTAATTAAGCTGATTTTTAACCATAGCACTCTTTAATAAAGTCCTTTTAAAATTTCTTATTACCTGACTTTAGCCAGGCCAAATGGCCAATATTTCTGGCTTTTGAAATTTACTGAAGGTAACCTCCCAGGTGCAGAGAACGAAAAATTTAAGATAGTCTGCTGAGGAGAAGAGAATAGAAAAGGTTATCCAGATATTAAACCAAAAAAGTCTTACTTCCTGTGCCGGGAATCGAACCCAGACTGCCCCTGTGATACGGCAAAAACCGTAACTACTGAGCCATAGCATAGGGCAATTGCCATCATACTTCCCAGAAGGAGTCTAGAATAGTTAATTTTGAGCATTCAAAGACTTTTAACTACTCAAGATAATTTTTAGAGATAACTAATACCTGAATCCTAAAATTCCTGTTCCCTGGAAGGCAGAGACCAACAGAAAGTATCTCCACATGGTTATAAGGTCGGACTCCCAAGGACATAAAACAAGATGGAGACATCATTCAGTTTTTTGTTTGTTTCAGGGACCTGCAGCAAAGTTTGTTACTGACCAGATTGCTGGACCATCTTGAGCAGAGATCTTATGGGGCCCTAAGTGCATGTTTTATCGTAAGGGCATGTTTTATCCTAAGGTATCCCTCCACACAGAAAAACAAATTCATAGCACAAAATACACCAGATTCACAAAAGCTTGAGACTAGCCTCAGAATTCTTTTTCACATTAACTAAAACTTTACAGAGAAAGTACACAGTGACTTTTGCCATTTATTCAATGAGTTTGCACAGAGAGAGAGAATCCAGAAATCTGACTGGTAAGAAATTCTTACCCTTTTGCCTGCATGCTACCTGGAACTTCCAGGTTCCCTTTCCCTGAGCGGCCTGGTGACCCAGCTTGCTGCATCATCGCCCTGGGGTCACACTGCATCATAAAGGAAAGGATCTTTTTTTGTTCTGGCCAAAGCAAAATACATGCAATAAAGCATAGACATTAGCCACTCTGCTTAGCACTCAATATCAAACTGGCAAGGTTTAGATTTACCCTCAGATGGGCCCTGTCATCTTTAACCCAACCTCTGACTAGGAGTTTTAACACATGGCTTTTGGGCAAGATGGCCACCCTGAGTAACAGAAAAGATAGAAAAGGAAAAGAAGAAAAAGGAAAGTATTGCCTGTGGCAGGATGCAGAAGGTGAAGAGCTCAGGGAGATCAAAGCAAGATCCATTCATTTCAGCAACACTGAAAAGTTCAGGTGGCCACTTGTTACTAGTGAAGGGATCCTTTCCTGCAGTCCCATCAGCTCTCAAGTTTTCCCACTTAGGGAGAAAAAATCTCCCCATGTCCCACGATCCTATATATGTCTAATTCTGTCACCCACAGCTGTCAGCAAAGAGTGCAAGGCAGATTATTTCAAAGAGAATAGCAGTTAACATCCCATAGTACCAAATCCCTTTTTAGCCAAAAAGGTCTTTACTGAGAGTCTTCATTTAAAAATGTACTTCAGTGGTGCATTGTTCATTTGGAACACTCCACTGTGAGTTATTTTTAGTAAGATGTCGCCATTTCTTTAGACATCACTGCCTCCCAGGTCTAATGTATAAGCTGGAAAGAGCTCAGTTTTCCAGAAATTAAGGATCCTATTTTTACCTAAAATATTGGCTTTACTCTTAGATTCTCTTAATTAACTTAGCCAGTGATTTTTTTTTCCTACCTAGCTGCACAATAAAATGAAACAAAGGGGTAGAACACAAAAATCCCTGTGAATTTTCAAAAGCCAAATTTTATAACCCCTGCCATATTACTGCTTACTACCAGTTCCTTTCTGACCCAGTCAGATGTAAGAGGCCTCTAACTGGATCCAAGCCAGTTAATTCCCAAAACAAATCCATTCCTAGACCCTGTCCAGTTTCTGTCATGACTCCAAACCCAGTTTGGATCAGAAATTTGCTCAAAGAAACTTGGAGAGCTCAAAACACAAATCTGTGGAACTCTGAAATCCAAGAGGGAGCTTACCCACAATCCCCAGCAGCTCTGAAATCAATGGACCTAAGTGGGTCCTGCAGCTACCTTGCATGTTCACTCTGCACACCTGGGGGTTGCTGGAAGCTCCACTTTGGATCCCACTTCTGACACCATCTAATAAAAGAAAAACTTCAGCCAAATTAAATTTAAGGAGTTTAATTGAGCAATGAATGATTCATAAATCAGGCAGCCTCAGAATCAGAGCAGATTCGCAGAGACTCCAGCACAGCTACATAGTGGAAGAAGATTTATAGACAAAAAAAAACAAAAAGGGAAATGATTTACAGAAATTGGAAGCAAGGTACAGAATGGCTGGATTGGTTACAGCTTGTCATATGCCTTATTTGAACACAGTTTGAACACTCAGTAGTGTATGAATGGTTGAAGTATGGCTGCTTGGATTGGCCGAGACCTAGCTATTGTTACGGGTGCATACTACTAAGTTAGGTTTTCAATCTTGTCTGCCTATTAAGCTAGGTTACTTACAGTTCATCCACAAGGGCTCAAAAATAGGAGTATGCAATCCTTCTTAGGCCATATTTAGTTTGCTTTAACACTCTCTATACATACATTTATTGGCATATGCATGAAAATATTTAGTGCTTGATTTCCGTATGCTTTCTCCCCAACTATATGATGAAGCTGTCCATAAATAAATAAAGTGACATTTCAGAGTGTGAAGACTTAGGGATTTTCAGAATCCCGAATATTTTAACACTTGTTGAAATGGCATGCAACTTAAAGGGGGAGGCTGATGCTTTCAAAATTGGGTACAGCTTAAAATCAGCTAAAAAAGTATTAAACAGCCCAATGTCCAGGACATGTACTAGGCTGACAGAACAAGAAATTCTGGATGATGAAAAAACAACATCAGCATTTTTGAAGCTGTCAAAGTGAATCCAATGTGAAAGCAAGGATGAAAACCACTGAAGAAGACAGAATCTCTACTAAAATATATGGTACAATATTTATCTAGAGTTGTTCTCTCTTCCAGAAACTTCTGTTAACGTTTTGAAAAATGATAATTTTTTGGTCTGTAAATCACCTCTTGCCCCATACATAATACAAAGTAGACACAAATAACCTTTTTAACATAAAATTTTACATGTTATTTACTTTTACAGGAACAATGTAATAGACTCAGGAAGTGAACAAAAGATTTAAGTTTTTGAAAGTTATTGCCATGCTTGCAGAAGTTATTTGAACTTGGCCTAGGTCAGTTCCTTGTTAATGCCTTGTTTTCAGAATTTAGGAAATAAATCCATGCTAACTAAAATTTGTATAAATCTAAGTAAATACCTTAATACTACTTCAAAAATGTACCTTAAGGATATTTAGAAGGAATGGAAAGAACAATAATAACAGGCATGTACTAAAGATAAAAGGCATGTACAAAAACAATAGCAGGTGTATTCTAAAGAAGAGGAAGCAGGTCCAGACAAAATATTGTGTCATATATCAACTAAAAGATTTAAACACAATTTAATTCTTACAAAGCCATTTTTGTCCATATTTATGAAGTACATGTGATATTTTGATACAAGCGTACGATGTGTAATGATCAAATCGAAGCAACTGGGGTATCCATCACCTGAAACATTTATCATTTATTTGTGTTAGGAGCATTCTAATAACACTCTTTAGTTGTTTTGAAATATACAATAAGTTATCGTTAACTATAGTCTCCTTATTGTACTACCAAGTGCTAGATCTCATTCTTTCCGCCAAACTCTATTTTTGTACCATTAACCATTTCTTATTTCCTCCCTTCCCACTACCCTTCCAGCTTCTGGTAACCATCATTCTACTCTCTATCTCAATGAGTTCAAATTTTTTTTTTTTGCCACTTACAAAACCTTTTGAAGCAAATAATATGTTGTTGTTTTTACAGAAAATCAAATTGAAGTTCATCATGTTTAAGTAACTTAGGATTATGCAACTTGTAGTTGTTAAAGAAAGAATTTGAACATTCATCTGTCTGTGATTAGAGTTTATCTTAAATCACTGCATTCCTTTCCCTCTGAAGTCACTTGTGATGGTGCATTATAACACAAATGAATGGATGATTCATTTATCTTGACAAAGCAATTTAATAAATAAAATACATACTTTTCTCCTATGAGCCCTTGTATGAGGAACTAGATTCGAATCACAGGGTAAGATTAAACTCTTACACGTGTGAATCCCAAATATCTGAGACAGGTCTCCATCAGTTTACGACGGTTTATTTTGCCATGGTTGAGGACACATTTATGACACAGCCTGAGTAAGTTCTGAGACATGTGCCCAAGGTGATCAGGGGGTGGAGTTTGCTTTTATACATTTTAGAGAGATATGAGACATCCATCAACATGTGTAAGATGTACATTGGTTCAGTCTGGTAAGACCAGGACAACTGGAAGTAGGGGCTTCCAGTTTAGAAGTAGAGACAAAAGGAGATAAGTAGATAAGAGACAAAACATTTCATTCTTTGGTTGCATTCTTTGGTAGATTCCTTCGTCAGCCTTGCACTGAATACACAATTTAGCCTGGCTCAATGAATCTGTATTTTTAAATAAACAACAGGAGAGAGGAAGCAATCAGATATGCATTTGTCTCAGGTGAACCTCAGAAGGGTGACTTTGAATAGAAAGGGAGGCAAGTTTGCCCTAAGCCGTTCCCAGCTTGACTTTTCCCTTTAGCTTAGCGATTTTGAGGTCCCAAGATTTATTTTCCTTTCACACAAGCATGTTAGAAGAATAATTAAATATATTTAAATTATTGTTGATTTTTTAAAGGTGTCTCTTTCAGCAAAGCTATAGAGCTTATAGAGCCATGTGCAGCTTAAATAGTAAAAAATTCCACAAGGCTCACTGAGAAAAACAGCCATTCTTTCCACCATTCCACTTCCCTCTTGATTCCTACTAGAAAGGACTTGGGGAACCCTTTGGTTGTACAGAAGTATGCCTCAGGCAGGCTTAAATCTTGAGTCTGATATGAGATGAGTTCTGAGAAACTGGTCAATGGTTCATCACGTCTTGCCACAAATCTTAGAATTGGGTAGTGGCTATTTATGCAAGTGTTACTTGTGGCTGCCGGTGAAGGAAGGGGCCTGGCCAGAGACTCTATCTAGTATAGTCAGACAAGAAGACAATACATACAGCTGTAAAATCTTCCTTGAGAAGGTTAAAAGAAGCTTCTCATGAGTGATAGAACTCCCATTTACACGGTTGATGTCATTCAGAGGTGCATTTCTTTCAGTTTTTAGTCTGAACAAAACAATTAATATTGACATTAAGTCTATAACAATTATTTTCCTAAGTTTTGATAGTTTTCCAATATCTTTTCATCTGAATATAAAAATATATTTTAATTAGTCAGGAAGCATGTCTTATTTATTTTTGGCATTATCACCGTGTTTGTTCATAGTAAGAACTCAATAAATATTATATTTACTGGAATTTTATTGCTTAAAATTAATTTTCTTAGTTTGCATTAAAGCCTGGAGCTGTTTCATTTGTTAATAATTTTATGTGTGGATTGATTAATAAGAGGAAATGTACAAAGACCATGCTTAATGAATGGAATATAATAACTATCACTTTTTTTTTTAAGTTTCTGTTCTTTGGCTCTACTTTCCAAAATAAAATATGTTGGTAAAATAATTACACATATGAGTAGTTCATAAATGAAAAAAGACATTTTATATATTTGGGTTTTTTTTTTAATGTTTCCTGGATTACTTTAAATGTTTAGGGATACTTCTACATAATTTCCTTTGGTATTTTTACTTCAAATATACGATTTACTGAAAAATACAGTATAATAATGGAGTGGGATTTCATAATCATCAGAGAGGCACTTTTTTCATTTAAATAAATTATACAATAAAGAAGAAAATTTAATTAAATATTATCAATAATAACCATTTATTATGAACACTGTCAGATATTTCATCTCTAGTGAACTTGCATAGAGAAGCATCTATGCAAATTTCTTTGAGACAACGTAGTAAATACCTAGCCTCACCTAAACAGACTCAGAGGCATGAATTAAGACAGAGATTATAATGGTGGCTATGATTTTCAGTGGGGTGAGATTTTGCCTCTTAAGGAGTGTTGGAAGCTTTACAAGCTTATCTGAGTTTTTCAGAGCAGTGGGAGGAGACTGCCAATTAGAATGCAGAGCATAGATAGCCATAGCTCCCTCCTCTGTGTACTCTCTCAAGTCTCTTGTCTCTAGCCTTGGACTGTTCTGCCTTCAAAACTTATACTTCAGTGGAAATTTTAGCTTATTGTTTTGTTGTTGTTATAAATTAGTAGTCCTTTCTATCTGAAGATCACTTTGTTTATTTACTTACTTGTTTTGGGGCTTGAGCGGGTGAGCATTTTACCAGATCCTTGAGGGATATTATTAGGTTTCGCCAATCGTAGTGACTCATCACCAAATCAACACTGGTAAACTCTTGTAAGGATTATGTGTCTCTAAAATCAGACTTTAAGTTACAGAATATGCGAATGGAGACTGCCAGTTTACTCAATTCGCATAGATGGTTCAGAAGTGACACAAATCCAAGTCAATATTTCTATCATTTGCAGTTCATATAAATATAACTCTTGGATCTAGAAGTTTTGTATCTTTGTACCAGGTTTGAGACACAGGATATATAAAAAATATTTTTCTAATCATTATTCTTATTTTTGGCTATCAGAATGTAGTCAGTAGGATTGAAATGTCTGAAAGTTTTTATATTAAAGTTATTGATTGCTTTGCCATTAAATACATTTCCTGCATTATCATAAAGGTTGTTTAAACAAAATAGTGCCCATCTGATTATCACAAAATTTCACTTCTTTGCATAATAAGCTTCCTCTTTGGAGCTCAAAATACAAAACAAATGCATTGTATATTTGGAGTGAGGGTGAAGAGAGGGAGAGAAGTGAATAAATTAGGAAAAATATGAATCGAGTGACTATAATTTACCAGGTGCTTTGCGTAAACCGTAACATTTTTCTACGTTGGAAATGATTATCTTCATTTCCAAAGATATACTTCAAAAAATGTAAAAGTACATATTAATGAGCAGAGAAAGTATGCAATTTACTCAGGGTCATATGATGAATAAACTAGTGTTTTAACAGGTAACTGTTCAGTTTAAATCCCTGATTGGAAACATAAAGATAAATAATTTACTTAGTGTTGGGCATAAATGCCATCATGATCAAGTTAGATATGGGATATAGAACTGATAAATACTAAAATAAAACAAAGGGGTTTTATTTTTGTTATTTTTCCTTTTCGACAGTGCAATCTTGTTTAGATCATTCATATGTTAAATATTCTTTCTTCAAGTGAAAATTGATTTTTCTTTTATAAAGTATGTCTTCTCTCGTAGATAAAGCACAGATCTATTTCATAGAAATACAATATTCTAATACTATATAAACGTAATGTTATATTTGACATCTTTTGTAAGTAATTGCTATTTTTAAACAATAAAGGGAAATGAGTTTTGTCCACCTCACTGATTTGTTGGGAGGGGCTCACTAGATAGTGCATGTAAGAGATGATATTTAATGCAATTTAATGGATTATTAAACTGTAAGTCTCGTCAAAGAAAGAGATATAGTATTTAAGTTTGTTTATTTATTTATTTTCAGGGCTGTTCACTACACTGAAATTGACTAGTAAAGTTAGTTCAGACGAATTTACTAAATGAATTCTGAGGTAACAAATATAAGCACTGTATCATTTCAGGAAGAATGTAACATTCAGAATCTAATTTATCTATAATCCTCATCATTACCTTATGAGGTAGTTATTATCCATTCACTAAAATATGTATGAAGAAAGTCACTGAAGAATCCAGTATCAATATTAATATTTAAGCAACAATCCAAAGTACAAAAATGCAGTAATTGTCTCACAAAAGAGAGGAAAGAACAAACACTTCTGTATGCAATAAAACTTTACAGAAAAGAATATCGATTCTGTAGCCAACCAATATGAGACCTGCCAGGATGTCTTCTTGCATCTGGTCTCTCGGCTGTAGCAGAATCCAGCTGCAGAGTAGTCTTTGGCAAAATCAGAGATTAAGTTCTGAGATTTGCAAGAGCCAAAATGACAAAGAGGATTGTAAGCCAAGATTAGGAAATGTCACTTTAGATGGTGTTGGAATGATATTAAAGCTTAGAAGCTCTTTAAATCACTGAAGTGAAGGAATTTGGTAGAAAGATTCCTCAGGCAATTTTCATTTTAAGTATTTCTGCTTAGCATATCATATAAAATGGTCTATTATTGTGTCTTTTACTGTGCTGTAGTCTAGTGGAAGTAAAGATGAGTGGGAAACATTCAGGGTTTTTTATCTGTTTATATTCTAATTGGTTTATACCATAATTCAAAAATAGTACAGCCTAGTTAGGTGAAATCTGGATATTAGGAGAGATACCTATACTAACACTAAAATTTGGAGGTGGACAGTCTAAACCTGATATTTACTGACATGAGACTAGGTGAAATCACCCAGGGAGAAAATATTTCACTCAACTCAGTGACATCTACCCATTTGGAATGAGTAGTCCAATAACTTTCATTTGTAACTTTTAGTTTGAGATTTTAATGTTATAAATGACATTGATTTGGAAAAGTTGGAGTCCCAATGAAGATTGCAAGTTTCAACCATTAAAACTCTTAAAATCCTGAAAAGATACCCTTTGTTATTTAGAAAGTTTCTGAATACATGCCAGTCATGAGTCCAAAGGTAAATAAATATTTCTTCAGAAGAAAAAATACTGGGAAATCATAGAAATCAACGAAGGAATATTGTCTCCTATAAATTCTTTATTTTAAAATAACTTTGTACACTTCTCAATGTCTCTTCTGCAGGAAGACTTAAGTGTGCACATATATAGAAAGATGTCTACATATATTATAACTGCAAAAATTGGAGGTGTATATAAAAAAAGTATTATATTTTAGAGTGAATTTGGCCAGAGCGGGGTGATTGGATCAGAAGATAAATAATCTGTTATTATTTTTTGATAACAATTTTATTGATATACAATTTACATACCATAAAATTCACTGTTATGATTGAGAATGTATTGGGTATAACTATATTCACAGAATTATGCCAACCTCACTGATATTTAAATTGAGAATGTTTTCATTACTTCGAACGGATACCCCATACCCATTAGCAGTAACTCCCCATTCCCTCTTCCCCATGGCCCTTGGAAACCACTAATATATTTTCAGTCATTATGAATTTTCCTATTCTGGACATTTTATATAAATGGACTCATACAATGAGTGGCCTTTTGTGACTGGCTTCTTTCATGTAGTATAATGTTTTTATATGTGTTGTAATTGTATCAGTACTTCATTTTTATGCTTAATCTTATTAAATTAATAAACCCAATTTTGTTTAGTTTAAATTTATAAATTTGGGTTGTTGGCACTTTTTGGCTTTTATGAATAATGTTGCTGTGCACATTTGTGTAGAAAAACTTTGTGGGCATAAAGTTGACTTCCTTTAGGGGCTATACTGAGATATGAAACTGATTTATTATATGACAACTCTGTTTATTCTAATGAGGAATTGCCAAACTGTGTTTCAAAGTGACTGTTCCATTTTACATTCAGACCAGCAGCATATGGGGAATTTACTTTTTAACATTCTTCCCAGGACTTGTTAATGCTTTCTTTTTAATTACTTAGTGGTGTGTGAAGTAGTAATTTATAGTAGTTTTGATTTGAGTTTTTAATAGCTAATAATGTTGAGCATCTTTTCATGTGCATATTGGCCATTTGTGTATCTTTTTTGGTGAATTATCTCTTCAAAGTATTTGCTCATTTTTTGATTGAGTTTTTTTCTTATTGTTTAATGGAAGAGTTTTTTATATATTCTGGATACTAAATTTTACTATCAAATATATGATTTTTAAATTTAATTTTTAAATTAAATTTAAAACTTTTAAATTTAATTTTTAAATTAAATTTAAAACTTTTAAATTTAATTTTTAAATTAAATTTAAAACTTTTAAATTTAATTTAAAATTAATTTGCTTCTAAATTAAAGTTAATTTTTGTCTGAGGAATGAAGTGAGGGGTCCAACTTAATTAATTTATTTTTTTATATGTGGATATCCAGATATACCTGCAACAGTTGTTGAGATGATTTTTCTTCCCCCATTGAATGGTCTTGGAACCCTTGTTATAAATTAATTTATCAAAAATGTAAAGATTTTTATCTGACTACTTAATTCTATTTCTTTATTCTGTATTTTTATCCATATGCCAATATGTCACTATCTTAATTGCCACAGCTTTGTAGTAAGTTTTGAAACTTGGAGATATGACTTCTCCAACTCTATCCTTTGTCAAAATTACTTTGGCCATTCTGTGCTCCTTAAGTTTTGACATGAATTTTAGAGACAGCTATCAAATTTCTGCAAAAATTTCACCTGGGATTTTATCAGAGATTGTGATGAATTTGTATTAACTTTGGCAGTATTGTTATCTTAATAATATTTGTTTCTGAATAATGAAAATGGGATGCCTTTCTATTTCATAGGTTCTTAATTTATTTTGATGATTATTATAGTTTTCTATGCACAAGAACTAAACTTATTTTGTTAAGATTATTCACAAATATGTAAATCTCTTGAAGGCATTAAAAGGAAATTGTTTTCTTAATTTTATCTTAAGTTGTTAATTGATTAATATATAGAAACACAATTGATGTTTGTATATGTATCTTGTATATTACAATTTTGTGGACATAATTTATTCTAATATGTCTAATAGTATTACTTCTAAAACTCTTTTTGTGGGTTTTTTAGGATTTTCTATGTATAAAATCATGTCATCTGCAAACAGTTTTACTTCTTCCATTCCAATATAGACGTATTTTATTTCCTTTTTTTTCTAATTGTTATATTAGTTGTCATATAATGGTTAGACAATAACGTTTTTAAATTTCTTGACCGAGTAAGTCACTAGCCCTTGTTAAGGGGCTCTGTGTGGATGCTGGGGCATGCCTTCAGTGCTCCAGCAGTTTGCAATTCTTTAACCTTAATTTCTTGTGTGAAACTCCTCAAGTCAGCCCATGGTGAGAGATTACAGCCTCCTAAGGTCTTTCCAGGACACGCATACACCTGTGCACTTGTGAGTAGTCTTCTATAGTCTCGGGAATATGTCAGAGTTATCCAAAGCCCTCCGTGGACACCTCATTCTTCAAGTTTGAGTTTGAAGTTTTATGGCCAATGTTTCATCTGCCCCAAGTGGTTGCCATTTCATTAAGTTACAGTATTAAACAATTGCCACTGATTTTTTTCAACAAATTTCCTGGGAATAAGACTGTTTGCACTGGGCAAGCACAGAGTTAAGATAAATAGAGACAAGTCTTATGAATGTCATTGTTACAGGAAGACTCCAGAAAGGATTAATAATCACTATTCGTTAGTGTTTTGGCTTTTGGAGAAGGTTCATATGAATTCTAGTTCCTCCTCTGGCTTCTAGTTTGCTCTTTTTGCAAGCACTATGGTTGCAAAGTTGTTGGCTTCCAAAACTACCCCAAAGCTGAGGAGAAGGAGCTGGCATCAGGACAAGTTAAAACACTAAAAAGCAAACTGTTTCGACTGAAGTTCAGCCATCTTTCTTAAATGAAGGCTCACCAGACTATTGCAAATCTTTGTTAATTTACAGAGTTCTGAAGGTTAATTTTGACAATTTTTGCTAGTGTTCTCATTGCTTGTAAGTCAATTGCCCTTACTATATTATTCTGGAAGTGCTTCTAATCCATTACTTTTAAGATAAGCATGCATCACAACCTTAATTAACTTTATTTTTAAATGTTAAAGTATATGGAGAGCATAATTATAGCATTAAGTAGTATTACTAGAATGTTTAGGTGTTTGGAAGCAGAAAAAAAATATCAGCTTGAAATGTAGAGGAGGCATAAAGATTACTTGGATGTGAAAGTAACTGAAGGGTGTGAGATGCAATGTGCATATTTGGGGTTGAAGAAATTATATGAACAATTGCAAATAGATGAGCTACTATAAGATATGTTAAGAAAAGTAATGTGAGAACAAATATGTAGTGGGATCAATTATTTTTACTTTGCCAGAGTATTAGTCCATTCTTACTTTGCCAGTGTATTAATCCATTCTTGCTTTGCTATAAAGAATTACCTGAGACTGGATAATTTATTAAAAAAAGGTATAACTGGCTCATAGCTCTGCAGGCTGTACAGGAAGCATAGCTGGGGATGCCTCAGGAAACTTACACCATGGCAGAAGGTGAAGGGAAGCAGGCATGTCTTTTTTTTTCTTTTTCTTTTTTCTATTTTATTTTATTATTATTACATTTTAAGTTTTAGGGTACATGTGCACAATGTGCAGGTTAGTTACATATGTATACATGTGCCATGCTGGTGTGCTGCACCCATTAACTCATCATTTACCTCCCCCCACTCCACAACAGACCCCAGAGTGTGATGTTCCCCTTCCTGTGTCCATGTGTTCTCATTCTTCAATTCCCACCTATGAGTGAGAACATGCAGTGTTTGGTTTTTTTGTCCTTGTGATAGTTTACTGAGAATGATGATTTCCAATTTCATCCATGTCCCTACAAAGGACATGAACTCATCATTTTTTATGGCTGCATAGTATTCCATGGTGTATATGGGCCACATTTTCTTAATCCAGACTATCATTGTTGGACATTTGGGTTGGTTCCAAGTCTTTGCTATTGTGAATAGTGCCGCAATAACCATACGTGTGCATGTGTCTTTATAGCAGCATGATTTCTAGTCCTTTGGGTATATACCCAGTAATGGGATGGCTGGGTCAAATGGTATTTCTAGTTCTAGATCCCTGAGGAATCGCCACACTGACTTCCAAAATGGTTGAACTAGTTTACAGTCCCACCAACAGTGTGAAAGTGTTCCTATTTCTCCACATCCTCTCCAGCACCTGTTGTTTCCTGACTTTTTAATGATTGCCATTCTAACTGGTGTGAGATGGTATCTTATTGTGGTTTTGATTTGCATTTTTCTGATGGCCAGTGATGGTGAGCATTTTTTCATGTGTTTTTTGGCTGCATAAATGCCTTCTTTTGAGAAGTGTCTGTTCATGTCCTTGGCCCACTTTTTGATGGGGTTGTTTGTTTTTTTCTTGTAAATTTGCTTGTGTTCATTGTGGATTCTGGATATTATCCCTTTGTCAGATGAGTAGGTTGCGAAAATTTTCTCCCATTTTGTAGGTTGCCTGTTCACTCTGATGGTAGTTTCTTTTGCTGTGCAGAAGCTCTTTAATTAGATCCCATTTGTCAATTTTGGCTTTTGTTGCCATTGCTTTTGGTGTTTTAGACATGAAGTCCTTGTCCATGCCTATGTACTGAATGGTAATGCCTAGGTTTTCTTCTAGGGTTTTTATGGTTTTAGGTCTAATGTTTAAGTCTTTAATCCATCTTGAATTAATTTTTGTATAAGGTGTAAGGAGGGGATCCAGTTTCAGCTTTCTACATATGGCTAGCCAGTTTTCCCAGCACCATTTATTAAATAGGGAATCCTTTCCCCATTGCTTGTTTTTCTCAGGTTTGTCAAAGATCAGATAGTTGTAGATATGTGGCGTTATTTCTGAGGACTCTGTTCTGTTCCATTGATGTATATCTCTGTTTTGGTACCAGTACCATGCTGTTTTGGTTACTGTAGCCTTGTAGTATAGTTTGAAGTCAGGTAGTGTGATGCCTCCAGCTTTGTTCTTTTGGCTTAGGATTGACTTGGCGGTGCGGGCTCTTTTTTGGTTCCATATGAACTTTAAAGTAGTTTTTTCCAATTCTGTGAAGAAAGTCATTGGTAGTTTGATGGGGATGGCATTGAATCTATAAATTACCTTGGGCAGTATGGCCATTTTCACGATATTGATTCTTCCCACCCATGAGCATGGAATGTTCTTCCATTTCTTTGTATTCTCTTTTATTTCATTGAGCAGTGGTTTGTAGTTCTCCTTGAAGAGGTCCTTTACGTCCCTTGTAAGTTGGATTCCTAAGTATTTTATTCTCTTTGAAGCAATTGTGAATGGGAGTTCACTCATGATTTGGCTCTCTGTTTGTCTGTTATTGGTGTATAAGAATGCTTGTAATTTTTGTACATTGATTTTGTATCCTGAGACTTTGCCGAAGTTGCTTATCAGCTTAAGGAGATTTTGGGCTGAGACAATGGGGTTTTCTAGATATACAATCATGTCATCTGCAAACAGGGACAATTTGACTTCCTCTTTTCCTAATTGAATACCCTTTCTTTCCTTCTCCTGCCTAATTGCCCTGGCCAGAACTTCCAACACTATGTTGAATAGGAGTGGTGAGAGAGGGCATAGCAGGCATGTCTTACATGACTGGAGATAGAGGAAGAGAGAAAAAGGGGAGGTGCTATGTACTTTTAAACAACTAGATGTCATGAGAACTCACTCACTGTCATGAGAAGAGCAAGGGGGAAATCCTCCTCCATGATCCAATCACTTCCCACCAGGTACCTCTCTAAAACTGGGGATCACAATTCAACATGAGATTTGGGCAGGGACACAAATCCAATCCATATTAGCAAGACATTTTTGTTTTAACATTATCATTATAAAATATATTTTTCTTCTTGCTATAACAGAAAACAAGCTCAGAGAAGCTTACTATTGTCCATGGTCACAAAGCTATTCATAGACCCAGTACTCAATCCCAGGATTGTCTACCTATTTGAGGGCTCATGTCACAATGCTACCTACGATGTTAACTGTACTAGATTGGTATATATTGAATGCAGTGGTATATATAATAGAGTTGGGAAGTTGATATTAATATTCTTGTTTAGAATCTAAAATTCAGATCCAATGCTGTACTAGGTAGTCCTAATTATGTCAGATAAATATAATCCCTCTTTTTACTCAACGGGATTAAAATCTAACTAGGGAGGAGTTGGTATAAAACTTAAGTCATGAAATAAGTAAATGAAGACATAAGATGGAATGTACTTATGTAACTAAGTGTTCGTAACAGGCTGTGATATAGTTGGGAAATCCAAAACAAAATACATTTGAGACAGTCAGTATGTTGGGATGACTTTCTATATCCTGTATAACATAAGCAGAACCTTAAAGGACTCAAGTGATTATAATTGAAGCAGCCTTACCCACACATTTTCTTAATGCATGTTTGTTAAATCATAGGATGATAAAAAGTATGGCTGGTAAAACACATTAACAATTATAAAATGTATTTAGTTCTTACTACATGACAAACACTTTGCATTCATTTTCACTAATACTCAAATCTACCCTGTTGGAAACTGCAAAAAAAAAAAAAAAAAAAGTGAAGAGTTTGTGACCACAAACTTTTTGAGGCTGCTCCTGTGAAGAAAATGAGTTTATTTTCCCACCTCATTTCTGCTTGGTCCTATGACTTACTTCAGCCTACGGGATTTTAGCAACCCTAATGGAAGCAGGTTGCTAAGAAGTGCTTGCACATTAAGGCTGACTCGCTTTTGCTTCTGGGAACTTTTCTATCATAAGTATAACCTTAAGCTAACTCCCGGAGTGACAGCCCATGAAAACAAGGAGTTCAGCTTTCCCAGACACCCCAGCAGAGGCCAGAGATGTGTGACTGAGAACATTCTAAGTCATCCAAGCCCAAACTAACTAACCCAGACTAGAGAAACCACACGGTTTACCCACAGAGAAAAAGTGTATTAAATAATCGTTGTTTTAAGCCATTAACTTATAGAATGATTTTCTTTGCAGCAATATTAACTGATAAATTAATTGTAATCCTAGTTGTACACTATGAATTATCCTAATTCACCAGATAAAGCAGCTGGATTCCATGTTATTGCAGTGACTTGCTCAATGTTTCTCAGCTAGAAAGAAGAAACCACTGAATTTCAAAATCACAGTTGTTTCCAGAGAAAAGTTTTTCTCAGTTGTTTACACATCGTTGACTACACTCTGGTCCTTCTAGTGATCCAAAGTGTAGCATAGAAGATTCAGCCTTTGTGACATCTTCAGTTAGTCAGTTGCATCTGGAGCTCTCCCATTCTACTCGGGGGCCTACCAAACAATGAAGGGAAGGGTATTTAGATTAAAAATTACCGTAATAGATTTATTTAGTGTGTTGGTTTTCTCAAATGCTGGTTATGCTAGCAGTGAAGTTGTCAAAAAATACACAATAATGTAAGTGCTTTAATATAATCATTCACAATGTGCTTTGTTAAAATCTAGTGAAATTCAATAAATAATTTTAAAGCCCAGTAGAAATTATTTCATCTAAAATGCTTTTATTAACACACAAAATTGATCTTTGAATGATGCATTGTAAGAAAATAGAAAAGAAAAAAAATTGACTCCTAGAGATGTTTAAAAGCAGAGTAAAGACAGCACTTTAGCATTTTTAAATATTGATGTAAACAGTCAGTGGTTATATTCCCCTTCTTTCCTACTGAGTAGTAAGTAAAGCTCAAACTTAGAATTGACAGAGATTTGTTGTTCTTATTGATGGAAGGTCCAATGTTAGATTTATTAATTTATAAGTTCAAAACACACCAGAGATCTAAACTTCAGTAATTTCGATAAAAATATATGGCTATGGATAAGAGTACTGTGAGCCTTCTTAATGGGCCCACCACTACTAAATCTGTATGCTTTCTTAGACTGTCATTACATTTTCTGAACATCAGTTTCTTTTTTTTTGTATTTAATACATTGTCAATAAGTCTTAAAAAAGCTGTAAGTGCAAACATTTGTACTTTTCCATTAAAATATAATAGATTAATATTTAAATGTTGTTTTGCTTCTAAACGCCACTGTCCTTGTGTGGTCACAGTTCTGCATCCCGCAGACACTTCCTGTGAAATGGCCACTGCTAACACATCTGCATGACTCAGAGGGGGAAAACTGCATTCTCTAATAGTCAAAAGTTTGAATGAAAATATGATGTAGGCATACAAATCTAATAAATGCTTTCATATACTCCTAGAAATGGTCACTCTTGAAGCCCGTTTGTGTAATTTGTGATCTGGAGATCACAGAATCTCTAGCTCCTTCTCTGTCTCTTGATGTTACCAATTTGAAAAGACCTACCTCCAGGCATACTCCTGACATCTCCATATTGCTAGGAAGGAGTCTAAGCCTTATAGATGTATAGTTGACAGGGAGAGAAAAATAAATCTTTTTCTTCTTTTGCCCTACCTCACTATGAACTTCTTCACAGAGTGATTGCTAGTTGAAGTCTTGTTGCTAGGAAAAACCTTATCATGTCTTAGGGTGCATGTGCCAGCCTCACAGATACTAAGACAATTTCAACATGTGACAGTACACTTTCCGTGGCTGGTCTTCAATTTAAGGCACTACCCCATGTTTAGTAGCAAAACTTGTTTAACGTTATGCTGCATAAGGGAGAGTACTTTTTTTATAGTCTGTCTTTCAGTATATGTACGGAAAGGCCCTCCTGTCAAAATCCGATAACCTGAGAGCAACAGCTTGAGCAAAACACAAACACATAGACACGAACACACACACACACACACACCATATGATCACAATACATATACCAAGTTTCCCAATGTAAACAGTAATCTTCAGGATTAGAAATATTGTCATCATTTTCATTTAGCAATGTATCTGCTTCTCTAGGGCATTATTCTCTTTGTATCTCCTTTTCATATGGAGACAGTAAGTGAAGACAGTAAGTGCCATATTGCCCAGGAAGAAATCTTTATTCTATGATTTATTCATTATATGAATTTGGATGTATTACTTAAACTTTTGTGCCTCATTATATAACTTATAGTTTTGTAATGAGGACTAAATGAAATAAGGCACACGGAAAATGAAATGTCAATGCCTCACAGAGTGACTGTTAACTTTTAAACAAATTAAGTAAAATAAATATTAATTCACATTTGTTTAAATTAATGATTACCTATGTAAAAGACAGCATTAGTTTGTGCTCATTAAATAAATTTATGCATGTTTATTCAACATTTACTATGAGACAGAGTTGCTTCTTTTATTTTTGATGACATTTGAAATTTGAGTATGAGAATGCACAGTAATGTTTTCCTCTCACATTTGTAATTCTTCAAGATGAATTCGAGGGACAAAAATACTTACTTAAATTTTACTTCTCTGTTCAGTAACTGAATAATTTAGTTTCTGATGTGTCTTGCACTTTAGTCACATCTGATCACTTTCCTCAAAAATATGTTCTTACTGTTGTTGGCTGCAGATTCTAAGACAGCTGTGGCCAACTCACTTGTCAACACAATTTTAAGCTAAGTTTATATTTCAAGTGTTTAATTGCTTATGATGTTAGGAGGTGCCAAGAGAACACTATTGATTTCCAGATTGCAGACTGTAAGTGATAAAATTTGCGCCTCAAAAAAAAAATCATCTGACTCTAAATTATGTAAATGTAGTAGGAAACCTGTAACAGAAAATCAGAATTTTAAAAATATCATTATCATTATACTTGTAATCTTCACTATATTTTCAAAGCATATTTAAAATAAAATTTCATGAATATTCTGTGGTACTGTGCCCACATCTTTATTAAACTCAGGGTGCTCACTGTGTGTCACACATTCTTATGTTATAAATTGACAGTTAGTTACACAACAGATATTAGACATGGAGTTATGGCAATGGAGACCTCTACCTCAGTGACTTCAGGTGTCATTGGATCTGAATAATCACTTAAGAAGGTTATTATAACAAATTTTACCAAGTCTTATCCAAATACACTTGATGTGTATTTCAAAATTCATATTGTGACAAGATAAATCTATTGGGACTTTGGAGAAAAAAGGCATGACTAAAGTGTATTAACTTTCTTGATTTGCAAATTATATAACACAATTCACATTTGGTAGTTACTGGTCACTTAGTATAAATGTAGGGAACAAAATTTTTCATAAATAAATAAACTAACATTTAAAGAAATAATCTTTATGCATCATCTTGTTAATTTTCACAACAGTTCTATTTGGTTTATATTGCTATCTCAATATTACAGATTGAGAAACAGTGGCTCAAAATAAAAACTAACTTTCCTAATATCTCTCACACACAGAATTTCTATGTCTGGCAAAATCATTGACAAAATAACTTGAAAACCCCTGCTGCAAATACCTAGAAACACTAGATAAAATGCAAAGAACAATCTTTTAAAAATATAGATAATTTCACAACAATTTCACAAAAGGGTGTGAAACAAAGAGAATGTTGTAATTTTTAAAAAAGATACCACAGCTTTCCAAGGAGAGCAAAACACATATGTATATTTCCAGGTTGCAGATTGGAAGTGATGCATACACACACACACACATACACACAAACATATAGCTGGGACTATAGCTGAGGTGCATAAGGTCTCCTCCGCATGGTTTCTCTTTATAAATAGCTTGAGTATTCTTACAAACTGGCAGTCTCAAGGCAATGGTCCTAAAGTAAGCATTTGAAGACCATCAACATGCATTCAAAAATCTTTTAAAACATACCTTCAAAAGCCTGAAATTATGAATTCTGCCAATTTCAGTAGTCAAACCAAGTCACAGATCCAATTCAAACATAAGCAGATGAAAAATAGGATCTACTTTTTAATGGGAAAAGTAATAAGGCTTTATTTTTAAACAATTACAGTTAAGCTCTCAATACATTACACTCTTCTGATTTCTCTCCTTCATTGGCCGTTCATTCTTAGACATTTTTGCTGGTTCATTTGACCTCCTTGACATTTTAATGTTGATTTGTTATAGGAATGAATGCTTGAAAAAATTTCTTTTCTGTCTACACGTACTATTTTAAAATCATATTTATTCTATTGACTTTAATTAATATTTTATGCTGGTGACTTTCAAATTTATATCTCAGTTAAGACAGCTCATGTACACAATAAATTTATGAACCTAGCTTTTCACCTGATATCTTACTTGGATTTTCAGTAGCAAAATAAACAAATTAGATACTAATATAGCAAATTAAAATTTGTGGCATGAAGCTAAGAAAGTGTTTAGCAGGAAATCTGTAGCCTTGAATAATACAGACTAAAAATCAATTACTTAACTATATGTCGAAAATCTAAAAAAAACCAACAATAAATCAAATGTTAAGACTAGAAAGAAACAATAAATCAGATGATAGTAGAAATCAATAAAATAGAAAACCAAAATTTAACTGAGGAAGCAACACAGTCAAAAGTTAATTATTTGAAAAATTAATAAAAGTATAACCCTCAAGCAACACTAATGGATAAAAAGGAAAAAAAGAAAAAAGAGAGAAAAAAGAAAAAGAAAAAAGTTTCTATAAGAAAAGAAAAAGTGACATTATTACAAATCATACAGACGTGAGAAAGAGGATACTGTAAAACAAACAAGGTAGCTAAAAGTATCTAAACAATTTAGGTGTGTTTAGCAAGGTCACAGAAAATAAAGTCAATATACAAAATCCAGCTATATCCTTATATGCCAGAAATAAAAATAGATAATTAAAAATAATATACCATTTACAATGACATTAAAACCTATGGAATACTTTATTTGTATAATGCTAACAAAATATGTCTAAACATTTTTGGCATAAAGTAACATAACATTAATAAAAGAAATCAGTGAAGATCTAAATAAATGGAGATACATATCATGTTCATGGATTGGAAGACAACATAGTATGTCAGTTTTTCTCATTTATTCTATAGATTCTGTGAAATCATATTCAAAATTACAGAACACTTTTTTTTAGTTATAAAAATTTTGATTTTAAAATGTACATGGAATAGCATCAGTAGTGGAATAGCCAAAATAATTCTTAGGAGTAAGATTTTAGAGACTCACATTATCTGATTTAATAAATGACTGCAAAGCTAAAACAGTCAAGACAGTGATATTGGACAAATGAGAGACATATAGAGCAAAGAATAGTGATAGAGAACCCAGAAATAGGTAAACAAACAAGACAAAGAATTTTCCAAATGTATAAGAGCAATTGAATAGAGGAAGAATTCTTTCAGCAAGAGGTATAGAAACAATTTGATAATTTTTTTTTAAAAAAGGGAAACAAAGAAACTCCACACATAACCTACATCTTAGTGTTGAAAAAAAGTGATTCATAAAACTAAGTATAATTGATGCTGGTGTAAAAGGGTGAGTTCTGCCTCTCTTACCTTCTCCAGTCCTTTTGCTGTCTGGCACGTGAGGGACTGTGTTCTCCCTGCTGAAGGATGCAGTGCTCAAGGCACCATCTCAGAAGTTGGAACAAGCCGTTACCAGACACCAAACCTGTCGGTGCCTTAATATTGGTTTTTGAAGCCAACAAAACTATAGGAAATAAATCTGTTCTTTATAAACTACCCAAATGTTCAGTATTCTATTATAGCAGCACAAAAATGAAGACACCCACTGAGACAAAGGCAGAAAGTTTATGCTTCATAGAAAATTGTTCAAAGTTGCCAAGTTTAGGGAGAGGGTACTATTTCAATACTGAAGATTAAGTAAAAGTGAATATACTGTGCAAAGAGCTTGAGATCCCCAGAAACAGACACTGGAATGAGAGTAACATCAGAGTTTCGGTGAGTAAAACTTTAAGGAGATCACCTATTAGCAGAGACCAGAGGGAAGACAAAGACACACCAGAACTTCCATTTAACTTTCAGAAATCCCGCCTTGCATATGAGGAAATAGCGAAAGATTATCAAGTTCTAATAAAAAATGACATAAAACACACCCAAACCACAATAAAATAAAAAATAAAATCTCATTGAAATAATGAGTTACCATTAAAAAACACAATTTAAAAATATGCAGTTTACATAGAGCAAAGGGTTTAAGTAAAAAATAACGAGAAAGAATTATTTTAATTTAAGAATGTATAACAGACAGGAAAAATTCAAGAACAGCCAGTTTTGACTAAAGACAATGAGAAGGCTCTAGTCGGAAGATAAAATTAATAGAACACGTAATGGGATTGGAAGAGTAGAGAGAGATTTACATAATTGGAGTTCAATTTAAAGTAAATATAGGATGACTGCTAAAGCTAAGAAAATAAAAAAACAATATCAGCAAAAGCTATCACAACTAAGAATCAGCATAAAATTGTGGTTAAGCACACAAGTGGATTCTGGAGCTGAATTCTTGTGTTCCAATACCGTTATACCATTTTCTAGCTGTGTGATTTTGGACAATTAATAAAGACTTATTTTCTTCATCTATGAGGTACACATAAAAATATAACAATACCACCTCATATAATTGTTATGAGGGTTAAATGAATAATTATATATTCAGCTACTAAAAGTGCTAGGGGAAAACTAAAAGTTTGAAAAAATAGTAAGCAAAATACAATGTACCTAATAGAGTAATAAGAATTCAATATAGTTTTAAATATATGTTATAACTACATTTGAAAGTTGAACTGGAGTGTCTGTTTGTCTGTGTAATTGTCTGAGACAGAGAATAACATTAGGTAAGAAAACATAAGTTCAGTTATCATCTTCTATGCTACAAAGTTCATAGATAAGGGCTAAAACTGAAAAATCAATAAGTGGTTATATAAGCACGCCATTTATCAAGATGGAGGTAACACTAACAGAATGAGTTCAAACAGTCAAATATATTTGATTCTGTACAGAGTTCAATGGTTAGGATCTGCAGTATTGTATTAGCTTTGCAGGATGAAATGACTCTTTAAACTTATGTGTTACTTTGATGGAAAGTTAAACCATATTTAAAAATTAGTATTGCCATGAATGTATGCATACATTCACATGCTTGCTAATGTTTTTATGTCTTTGCCTATTGCTTTTTCTCTACCTGTAATGTCCAATATCTGCTATGTTTTATCTGGCTTTTTTCATCAGTAAACATGGGTCAACTAATATTCTGGGGTAGGAGATCATTACTGACCTACTCACGTAGATTCGATCGCTCATTTATCTGTGTCTTCACTGAAGTGTGAGCATTCCTCCCTAGTACACTGCATTGAATATCAATTATGTGCCTGCTTTCATTTCTAGGCTGGATGCTCACAATAAGAACTGTTTTTTAATTGGCTCTGTATTTTAGACTTCAATACAAAACATAGCAAGTACCGAACAATTAGTTTTCAACCAAACTGAAGTGAGTTAATACCGTGGACTGAGGTCCTTGGAGAGGTATGGTGTCCAATGAAGGGTACGCCATACTATTTCCTGGTTCATTCCTTATAATGGATGTCTTAGTCTCCTCAGGCTGCTATGACAAAACACCACAAACTGGGCAGCTTAAGGCCTTACCTTAAAAAACCCTCACATTGGGGGCCATGGCTTCAGTGGATGCATTTGCAGGAGATACACAGATTCAGCCCTTAATGGGAAAAGGCGTTAACTTTGAATTAAAAGTCTGTATGTTATTAATTGGTTATGGGTATCTGGCGTACCCAATATGCCAGCATCTGCCACTAGTCATAGAATTCCTGAAAACTGCTCCACATTTTCCTGAGAGGTGAAATCTTTCTCCTCACTCTCATCTGCCTTTACAAGGGCACACACACACACAAGCGCACACAGACACACACACACACACACACACACACTATCTACATGGTTACCGTGAATGTTAGCGTGTTAAATTATGATAACTCATGTTCATGGCACAATATTGCCTTAGTTGAATGGTTCATAGACATAATTCTGACACAATAGGTATTCCTCCTTTGGAATTTTGGAACTTAAACTGAGGGAGGAGATTAGTTTTTCTAGGACTGCCTGAAGGTTATATTGCCTGAAATTCAGAAGTTTCTATCAGTCATGTTCCATACTGCCAGAGATAGAGAAGTGTAGAAAGTCCATTTTAAGATGGAGAATAAAGAACAAAACAGATGCATGAAGCAGAAAAATAAGGAGAACAGAGAAAAATTTCCGTTTCCATTTATTCCTAGAACTGTGTTCTCAGTCCTAGGTTTCTTCACACACCTTAGTGTGATTCCTTTTTTGATTTAAGTTGTTTTAAATTCGATTTATGGTATTTGTAACCAAAATACTACTAACAAATGCAAAATTACTGAAGAAAGAATTACACATGATAATTTGGAAAAGTATAACCAGATAAGTTATGTTAGAGATAAGGAATTTAGGAGCTGGCTTTTTAAAATAATTATATATTGCTTCTGAAGAACATTTGTATGCTAGTCTCTGTTGTTGTTGTTTTTTTTTTGCATCCATTTTCTGAAATTCATCAGAATACTTTTAACATATATTAACTTGGCCTAAGTTATAATAAAAGTTATTATGGATTAATCAGCTCTAAAATTTGGATTGAGTGGCAAAGGAAACATTTGAATGAGACACCAGAGTGTGTTGGCAGTGGTGATAAATAGTAGAAAAAATTATGATCAACTGTGGAACAATCACAAATAGATACCACCAGCTAAAGCATAATAAAATGGCCCGATGGGGAAGTTGTACCAGTGGATATTGAGGGACCTGAATATTCTTAAAAATATCTGAGGGAAAGTTTGGAATAAGCAAATGTCTGAGATTTGTCAGCTGAAATTATAGCTTTAAAATATGATTATTTTAGCCTTAGTATGGTACAGACTAATTTACTTCTAAGTATCTAAAATTATATATAAAATTTATTTGGGCAGGGTAGACACGAATATGTGCTCAGAATATGGTAACTAGCAGTAATTAAAGAGTGTAAACTGAAATAATATTGATGAGGAGATTTAAAGAAAACTGAGAAAAGTCAGCTGACTTGAATTAGTTTTCTATTGCTACTTAATAAATTACCATCAACTTATTGGTATAAAAGAGTAATTTATTATCTCACAGTTTCTGTTGGTCAGGATTCCAGGCATCGTTTGACTGGGTTCTCAGTGCAGATCTCCTAAAGTTGAAATCCAGGTGATAGTCACGGCTGTGGTTCTCATTTGGAACTTGAAGTCCTCATTAAAGTTCATTGTGGTTGTTGGCTGCATTCAGTTCCTTGTGCCTGTTTTTGTAGGACTAAGGTGGGTTTTGTTGTTGTTGTTATTCTTTTTTATTTTTAATGCCAGCTCTCAGTCATAGACTGCTCTCAGCTCCTTGAGTCCTCATAGTTTAAAACAGCATAGTTTGTTTCTTCATGGAGAATGGTCAGAGTGTGTTTCCCTGATGCTTCAACATTGTGATGCTCTTCACGTCCTTTGAACATTTATCATGTCACAAACAATGCTTACTTCCACTAATTGGCTAACAGGTTTCCGATAGAATGTAGTTTTGGCAGTAATAGTGTATGATTTATCTTTGTGTGTGCTTTGTTCATGAATATCTTAGACTTTAAGGACATTAATTAATATTTAGAAGAAAGGAGAGAAGGAATAAAAAAATTAAAGAAGGAGAGCCAGGATTTATTATGACATTAATAGTAATGTATTGAAGTTAATTATATATCTACACTAAATAACAAAGTAAGATATTCTTAGTGTTGTCCATAAGTAGTTATAGTACTGTATTAGTCTGTTCTCAAGCTGCTATAAAGAACTGCCCAAGACTGGATAGTTTATAAAGGGAAGAGGTTTAATTGACTCAGTTTCCCATGGCTGGAGAGGCCTCAGGAAACTTACAGTCATGGTGGAAGGGGAAGCAGTCACCTTCTTCACAAGGCAGCAGGAGAGAGTGTCAGCGTGGGAAGGAGGAACTTTCAAACATTTATAAAAACCATCAGATATCATAAGAACTCACTCACTATCAAGAGAACAGCACTGAGTAAACTATCCCTATGATACAATCACCTTTCTCCTTCAACACGTAGGGATTAAAGGTTCTCCCTCAACATGTGGAAATTACAATTAGAGATGAGATTTCAGTGGGACACAGAGCCAAACCATATCATTCCACCCCGGCCCCTCCCAAATCTTATCTTTTTACATTTCAAAACCAATCATGATATCCCAACAGTCCTCCAAAGTCTTAACTCATTTCAGCATTAGCTCAAAAGTCCACAGTGCAAAGACTCATTTGAGACAGTGCAAGTCGCTTCTGCCTATGAGCCTGTAAAATCAAAAGCAAGTTAGTTACTTCCTAGATACAATGGGGGTATAGGCATTGGGTAAATACAGCCAAGTGGGAGAAATTGGCCAAAACAAAGGGGATACAGACCCACACAGGCCTGAAATCCAGCAGGGCAGTCAAATCTTAAAGCTCCAAAATGATTTCCTTTGACTCCAGGTCTCACATCCATGTCACACTGATGCAAGAGGTGAGCTCCTATAGTCTTGGGCAGCTTTGCCCATGTGGCTTTTCAGGGTACAGCTTCCTCCCAGCTGTTTTCACAGGCTAGCATTGAGTGTCTGTGACTTTTCCAGGTGCATGGTGCAAGCTGTTGGTGGATCTGCCATTCTGGCATCTGCAGGAGGGTGGCCCTCTTCTCACAGCTCCACTGGGCAGGGCCTCAGTGGGGACTCTGTGTAGGGGCTCCAATCCTACATTTCCTTTCCACACTGCCCTAGCAGAGGTACTCCATGAAGGCCCCACCCCTGCAGCAGAATTCTGCCTGGACATCCAAGATGTTTCCATACATCCTCTGAAATCTAGGTGGAGGTTCCAAACCTTAATTCTTGAGTTCTGTGCACCCACAGGCCCAATACCACATGTAAGTTGCCAAAGCTTAGATCTTGCACCCTCTGAAGCAACGGCCTGAGCTGTACTTGGTCCCTTTTGGTATAGCTGGAGCAGCTGGGATACAGGGCACCAAGTCCCAAGGCTGCACACAGCAGGGAGGCCCTGGACCTCCAGTCCATAAAACCATTTTCCCTCCTAGGCTTCTGGAATTGTGATGGGAGGGGCTGCCTTGAATTTCTCTGACATGCCCTGGGGATATTTTCCCCATTGTCTTGGTGATTAACCTTTGGCTCCTAGTTACTTATGCAAATTTATTCAGCTGGCTTGAATTTCTCTCCAGAAAATGGGTTTTTCTTTTTTTTTGAGTTGGAGTCTCACTCTGTTGCCCAGGCTGGAGTGCAGTGGCATGATCTCAGCTCATTGCAACCTCCACCTCCTAGGTTCAAGCAATTTCCTGCCTCAGCCTCCCAAGTAGCTGGGATTACAGGTGCCTGCCACCACGCTTCGCTAATGTTTGTATTTTTAGTGGAGATAGGGTTTCACCGTCTTTGCCAGGCTGGTCTTGAACTCCTGACCCTGTGATCTGCCCTCCTCGGCTTCCCAAAGTGCTGGAATTACAGGCATGATCCACTGAGTCCGGCCGGGTTTTTCTTTTTTATCGTATGGTCAGGCTGGAAATTTTCCAAACTTTTATTTTCTGTCACCTCTTGAATGCTTTGCTGCTTAGAAATTTCTTCTGCCAGATACCCTTAATAATCTCTCTCATGTTCAAAGTTCCACAGATCTCTAGTGCAGGGGCAAAAAGCCACCAGTCTCTTTGCTAAAGCACAGCATGAGTGACATTTACTCCAGTTCGCAATTAGTTCCTCATCTCCATCTGGGACCATCTCCGCCTGGACATCATTATTCACATGGCTATCAGCATTTTGTTCAAAAACATCCAACAAGTGTCTAGGAAGCTCCAAATTTTCCCACATCTTCCTGTCTTCCTCTGAGCTTTTCAAACTATTCCAACCTCTGCCAGTTACCCAGTTCCAAAGCTGCTCCCACATTTTCAAGTAGCTTTATAGCAGTACTACACTGTCTGCAGTACCAATTTATTTGGAGTACCTACTATTTTTTCAGGTTTTAAGAATATTTGGTTGAACAAGACATATGTGGCACCTATACTGAAGCTTATATTTTTGATGAAACAAAATAAGCAAGTGCACAAATAAATTAACAATGTCCTTTTAGATATTTATTAATATCCTAAATAAACATAACAGAAAATATGATAAACAGTAATATGGCAGATGGTGGTGATGACTACTGTATTTAGCAGGAGAAGCATAAGAAGTTTTTTCTCAAAGTTTGTTATTCAATCTGAGACCTGGAGTGCAAGAAGTAATAACTATGAGAAGGTTTGAAAGAAGTGGGAAAAAGAAGTGCTAACAAGGTTGTTACATCTGAAAAATCTGGAGAAAGTGAAGTGTGGCTATATCTTATTAAGTAAGAAAAGAGTGGCAAGAAATTAGATGTGAAAGAAAGATAGAAACCAGATTCTGTGGGAAACTATAGGACACGGTAAGGAGGTATTTGTTATTGTGGGTGTTTATTCATTTGAGTGCTTATGATTTGAGGGGAGAGTCTAATGGGAAACTACGGATTGGAGAGAGGTAATTTATGTGATATAATTTACACATGAAAAAGGACAAGTTGTAGGAGAATTCCAATTAGAAGAATATTGGAGTGTTCCAAGTGGTATATAATGATGGCCTTAGTATAATAGAAGTAGTGGCAGTGACAATAAACAAACATGGAAAGAGAAGTAAGATACATGACTGTAGGAAAGTAAAGAAAAATAACAGTGACATCAGCAAGATGTCTGACTACAGGTGCTGGGTGCTTGCCCCACCCTTCACAGAAAAGGACAAAACAAAAATAAACTAAAACTTTACCAGATTGTTTGAGGAAGAGCACTGGAGTGCAACAAAGGAGTAGCAAGATTCCTATAAAACATGGATGCCCAGTACATCCCGGGCATCTGCCTCTTCATGTTTTCGCTGCACCCCATCTTCGCTGCTGAGACTGGCTCAGAGCTGGGAGACACTTCTTTTTGCAGGGAATAGGTAATCCGAAGGCCTCCAACAGCCTCCATTATTACCACAGATATTTGCAGTCCTTACCCCAAGAAAATCCCACCATCCTCACAAGTTATGAGCTGAGTTTGGGAGCCGCCTGGAATTTACGTTGCTGTGCCACTACAGAGTAGTAGCACATAATGGACACTCTCCAATGTCCACGGCTCAAGCTGCTGCAGCATGGTGCTATCTTAAAGCTGCAGCCACTGCTGGCGTGTACCCTTCTCTGAAAGCCAGGAGCCGCTGTGCCTCTTCAGCCTTGAGGATTTGCTGCTATACCACCACTCTCACAGGGGCAGCTATAATACCACAACCCTGGCTTCTCAGAGCCTAGGCCCAAGAACAGCCATGACCCTGGTATAGGTACTCCTATACACTCCTACACAGTGGAGTGTATAGGAGTATACCTATAGGTACTCCTATACATTTCTACACAGTGGAGAAGCCAACTCTGGGTGAGGTGAACTACTGCATGCCCATGTATCCGGCTAGAGAACCAACTTGGAAATTATATCCTCAGTGTATCCACCCTCCAACCACCATATACATATACAATTAGCTGAGGAAACAGCTTGGTGGACCAGTTCCCAGAAATGTCACACCACCATTGCCAAAAACTCCCACAGCTTAGGCCACCAAGGCACTCATACCTATCTCTAATTTGGAGTATGTCTGATGAATCAGCACAAAAATTAAATTACTGGGTCCACCCAGAACCAAAGCAAATGCACTCCACTCAACCAACACCATGGGACCCATTTATGGTAATAAGCCTCTCTTTTTAGGAAAGCTGCTCTTGTGTTTCTACATTTGCCCCCTGCACATGTGGTAGAAAAATTGCTTCTTCCAGTTTTAACACATGTGCAGGGGTAAATGTAGCAACAGAAAAAAACGTGGCAAAGGAAGAAAACATGACACTTCCAACAGAACGCAATAATTCTTCAGTAACAAACCACAAAGAAAAGAAATATATGAAATGCCAGAGAAGAAAGACAACAACTTAAGGAAACTCAACACAATTTAAGAAAATAAAAAGACAATTCAATAAAATCAAGAAAACAATTCCTGATAAGTGAAAAATTCAACAGAGATAAGTGATATAAAAAATAACCAAAGAGAGATCTTAGAATGGAGAATGAAGTGAAATAAAAACTACAGTTGAGAGCCTCAGTAGCAGACTAGAGAAAGCAGAATAATTTCTGAACTTGAAGGTAGGTTCTTGAAATGATCGAGGTAGCCAAAAAAAAAAAAAAAAAAGAATAAAGAATAAAAAAGGAAAAATAAATTCTTCTGGACTTATGGGAAACAAACAAACAAATTTTTGCATTATAGATGTTTCTGAAGGAGAAGAGATGAAAAATGCAGATTTCTAACCACAGATTTCTCATCAGAAATCTTACAGTCCAGGAGGGAATGGAAAGGTATATTTAAAATGCTAAAAGAAAAATCTGCTAGCCATGAACACTATACTCAGGAAAGCTATTCTTCAAAACTGAAAGAGAAATAAAGCCTTCCCAAGATAAGTAAAAACTGAGCAAATTCATCACCACTACACTGGCCTTACAATAAATGCTTAAGGCAGTCCTATATCTGGAAGTAGAAAGATAATAACTACCATCATAAAATTACACAAAAATATAAAACTCACTGGTAGAGCAGATACACAAATGAGAAAAGAATCAATCTTTATCACTAAAGAAATGCAACTAACCGCAAAGATAAAAAAAAAGAAAGAAAAAGCAAGATAAGAAGAAAACAGCAAAATGACAGGAGTGATTTTTCATCTATCAATAATAACCTTGAATGTGAAATCCCCAAAAAAAGAAAAAAAAGAAAACACTAAATGCTGCTACAAGTAATTTACTTCACCTGTAAAGAAACAAATAGGACTAAAAGTGAATTGATAAAAAAATATATTCTATGCAAACAGAAACCAAAAGTGAGCATAAATCAGCTAGCTATACTTATATAAAACAGAGTTTGAGTCAATAACTATAGGAAAAGACACAGAAGGTCACTATATAATAATGAAACCATTAGTTCAGTAAGAAAATTTAAAATTGTAAATAAACATGCACCCAAAACAGAAGCACCCAGATATATAAAGCAAATATTATTAGATCTAAAGGGAGAGATAGAGTCTAGTATAATAGTGGTTGATGACTTCAATAATCCACTCTTAGTAGTGTAGAAATCATTTAGACAGAAAATCAACAAATAATATTGGATTCAAACTGCACTGACCAAATAGATCTAACAGACTTTCACAGAATATTTTATCCAAAAGCTGCAATAATATACAATTTTTTATCATAAGCACATGAAACATTCTCCAGGATTAACCACGTTAAGCCATAAAACGAGTCTCAATAAATTTAAAAATTCAAAATTTTATCAAATTTTTTTCTGACCACATAAAACTATAAATAAATAACAACAGAAACTTTGGAAACTGTACAAATACATAACAATTAAACAATGTAATCCTGAATGACCAATGAGCAAAAAAAAATTTTTTTTAATTAAAAATAGTTATTGAAACAAAAGGAAATAGAAACACAACATACTGAAACCTATGGGATACAGCAAAATAAGTAATAAGAGAGTTCATAACAATAAACACATACATCAAAACATAGAAATACTTGAAATAATAATCTAGTGATACGCTTCAAAAAAGAAGAAAGGCAAAAAAAAAATAGAAGGCAATAACTAAGAAACATCAAAGCAGATGTTTAGTTATTTATTGCCTTCCTCTAATTTTCTACTAAAACAATATCACAGAAGAGCAATGAAACAGAAAGTTGGTTCTTTGAAAAGATAAACTTGATTAACTATTGGCTAGACTAACAAAAAATGATATAAAATAAAAGCCCCAAATAAATAAAATCAGCAATGAACAGGAGACATTAAAACTGATACCACAGGAATAAAAAGGATCATTAGTATCTATTGTGAAAAACTATATACCAACAAATTAGAAAACTTGAAGGGAATTAATAAATTCCTGGACACATACAACCTACCAAGACTGAACGAAGAAAAACTGAAAGGCTAACAGATCAATAATGTGTAACAGGAGTAAAGTTTCCCATCAGTAAAAAAGAAACCAAAAAAATGTCCAGGACTAGATGGATTCACTGATGAATTCTACCAACTTTTTAAAAAGTACTAATACCAATTCTTATCAAATTATTCAAAAAACTGAAGTGAACGAAACTCATTTTATGAAGGCATCCTTACCCTGAATGAGCGAGTGAGGCTGTATCAAACTGAAAAGCTTCTGAACAGCAAAATACACAATCAGCAGAGTGAAGAGACAACCTGTAGAATGGGAGAAAATATTTGCAAACTATTCATCTGACAAAGGACTAATTAATATGCAGAATACACAAAGAGGGTAGAAGAGTGGTTACTAGAGGCTAGGAAGGGTAGGATGGAGGGAGGATAGGAAGAGGTTGGTTAACAGGTACCATAGTATAACTAGACAGGAGGATTAAATTCTAGTGTCCTAGAGCACTGTATAGTGACTATAGTTAAAAACAACTTACTGTATGTTTTCAAATAGCTAGAAGAGCAGTTTTTGAATGCTCCCATCACAAATAAATGGTAAATGTTTGAGGTTATATATATTCTAGTTACCCTGATTTGATAATGACACATTGTATACGTGTATCTAAATATCACACTGTACCCCATAAATAAGTACAATTATTTCACATCAATTAAAAATAATAATAATACTTTGGGAGACTGAGGTTGGCAGATCACTTGATGCCAGGAGTTTGAGACGAGCCTGGCCAACACAGTAAAACCCCGTCTCTACCAAAAAAATGCAAAAATTAGCTGAGCATGGTGGTGTGCACCTGTAGTCCCAGCTACTCAGGAGGCTAAGGCAGGAGAATCTCTTGAACCCGGGAAGCAGAGGTTGCAGTGAGTCGAGGTCATGCACCGCCCTCCAGCCTGGGTGACAGAGGGAGACCCTGTCGCAAAAAAAAAAAAAAAAAAAAAAAAGAGAGAGAGAGAGAGAGGTAATAATAATTTTTAAAAGACTCCTTGGTTTTTGGCTTAGGCAACTAAGTAAATATAGACGTCATTTACTGAGATGAAAAAATGTTGATTTTTGAGGGTGATAATTAATCAGAGCTCCTCAATGTCCTAAAAGTTCAAGACAAACTGATAAATAAACAGGTGTCAGACAGGCGGAAAGCATTATTACTGATAAGCTGAATTACAGAATAGAGCTTGGATCACAACTGATTTGTTAACACCACCATGAATTAAATACATTAATTGGATAAGGGCTATAAAATTTAACTGTAGAGTAGTTCCATTGGAGCAGGCCATTTGCCATGTTTCAGAGTGAAAAAGAAAAAACATCTATATGCTGACATTGTGATAATCAAAAATAACAAGGGAGGGAGGGAAAGACAGAGAGAGAAAGAGAGAGAATGCAAGAGAGAAATTGATTAGATTTATAATTCACCAAATATAAGATTTATCTTCTTTTACTGGGGAGGAGTGCATAAGTGGTGGAATCATTGTTCAGAAACATTATTTGGCAAAATAATATATACGGTAACTTGAAGAATAAAGAAAAATAATAATTTGGGGTGGAGTTAGATGCCTCCACAACACACACACAAAAGTTCTGCTTTTGTTAAGTTTGAAATGGGTATGACACATCCAAAAAGAAATGTCAAATAGTCAAATACACAAGTTTAAAGAGTGGATATATCACATATATAGATAGGAAAGCAGATGTCAATGGTGTGCGAAACTATGTGGATATGCAAAGAGCAGTTTAGAAAAAGGAGATAATATAGAGCCAAATAGAGAATTGTAGGGCCCTACAATATTTAGATGTTGAACAGAAGATGGATCTAGAACAAAGGGGACTGAGAAGATAGAACTAAAACCAAGAAATTGTGATATCATGGAATCTGAGAAAAATCATTACAGAAAAGAGATGTACATGCACAGAATGTTCCTGAGAAGTGACTACAGAATGTAATAACATGCAGGCCTTGATATGTCTTTGATAAGTTTCAACACAGCAATAGTGATGGAACATGCTTCAAGGTGGATGAATATAAAATGAGAGGTGAAGATATAGAAACAAAGTGTAAGCGACTCTTTCAAAAATGTGTAAATGTGTATGTGTGAGTGTGTAGATTCCTAACACTTTAACTGCAGGGGGATATGAGTAATGGAGGCTAATTTTATTAGTAGTTTGTTGGTTTGTTTTTCAGAGGGACTTGGAATGTAGTGGCCATATTCTGCTACATCACCTACTGATTTTTTTAATTTTTAATTTTGATGGGTAGATAGTAGGTGTATATTGATTGGATACAAACATATTTTGATACAGGCGTACAACGTGTGATAATAGTATCAAGGTAAATGGGGTATCCATCACCTCAAGCATTCATCACTTCTCCATGTTACGAACATTTCAATTTTACTGGCTCATTGACTTGAAATTGTACAACAAATTGTTGCTGACCACAGTCACGTTGATGTGCTATAAAATACTGGATCTTAGTCATTGTATCTAACTATACATTTGTACCCACTAAAACCATGTCCCTCCCCTCCACCATCCAACTACCCTTCCCAGCCTCTGGCAACGATCATTATACTCTCTGTGTCCATGAGTTCAGTTATTTTAATTTTTAGCTCAAACAAGTGAGAGCATGTGAAGTCTGTCTTTCTGTGCCAGGCTTATTTCACTTAAGGTATATAATATCCTCCAATTTTATCAACGTTGTTGCAAAGAACAGGATCTCCTTCTTTTTATGACTGAATAAACTCTATTGTGTATATATTCCACATTTATTTTATCTATTTGTCTGATAATGGAAACCTAGGTTGATTTCAGATATTGGGTAATAAACATGGAAGTGAGGGTATTTCTTCAATATACTGATTTCCTTTCTTTTGGTTATTTATCTAGCAGTGAGATTGGTGGTTTATATGGAAATTCTACTTTTAGTTTTTGAGGAAATTCCACACCATTCTCCCTAGGGGTTGTACTAATTTATATTCCCATCAAGAATGTATGAAAGTTCCCCTTTCTCCACTTCTTCACCAGCATTGGTTATTGCCTGTCTTTTGGAGAAAAACCATTTTAATTGGGGTGAGATTATATCTCATTGTAGTTTTAATTAGCATCTCTCTGATGATCAATGATGTTGAGCACTTTTTCATATACCTGTTTGCTGTTTGTATGTTTTGAGAAATGTCTATTCAGATCTTTTGCCCACTTTTTAATCAGATTATTGGATTTTTTCATACTGTTTGAGCTCCCTATATATTCTGGTTATTAATCCTTGCCAGGTGGAGAGTTTGCAAATATTGTATTCTATTCTGTGTGTTGTCTCTTCACTTTGTTGATTGTTTCCTTTGCTGTGCAGAAACTTTTATTAATAACTTGATGTGATTCAATTTATCCATTTTTGCTTCAGTAGCCTAAGCTTTTGGGGTGTTACTAAAGAAATCTAGAGTCAGACAATGATCTACAGAGTTTCCCCAAAGTTTTCTTTTAGTAGTTCCATAGTTTGAGGTCTTAGATTTAAATATTTAATCCACTTTGATTTGATTTTTGTATATAGCAAGAGATAAGGGTCTAGTTTCATCCTTCTGCATATGGATATCTAGTTTTCACAACACCAGGTATTGAAGAAACTGTCCTTACCCCCAGTGTGTGTTCTTGGTACCTTTGCTGAAACTGAATTCATTGTAGATGTATGAATTTATTTTTAGGTTCTTTATTCTGTTACATTGATCTATGTGTCTTTTATGCAAATACCATGCTGTTTTTGTTACTGTAGTTCTGCAGAATAAATCGAAATAAGGTAATGTGATTCCTCCAAATGTGATTTATTTTGTTCATTTTGCTCAGGATAGATTTGACTATTCTAGGTCTTTTGGGGTTAGGTATAAGTTGTAGAATATTTATTTTCTTTTCTGTGAAGAATGTCATTGATATTTTCATAGGAATTGCATTGAACTTGTAGATTGCTTTGGCTAGTAAGAACATTTTGATATTGATTCTTACTATCCATGAACATGGAATATCTTTCTATTTTTTGTGTCCTCTTCAATTTCTTGCATCATTGTGAAGATCTTTCACTTCTTTCATTAAGTTAATTTATTGGTATTTTATTTTATTTGTAGCTATGGTAAATGGGGTTACTTTCTTGATTTCTTTTTTACATTGTTCACTGTTGGCATACAGAAATACAACTGATTGTTTATGTTGATTTTGTATCCTGCAACTTTACTGAATTTATCAGTTTGAATAGTTTTCTTGTGGAGTCTTCAGGTTTTTCCAAATATAAGATCATATCATCTGCAAACAAGGATAATTTAACTTATTCATTTTTAATTTGAATAGCTTTTATATCTTCCTATCATTTGATGCTGTAGCTAGGACTTCCAGGGCTATGTTAAATAACAGTGATGAAAGTGGGCATCCTGTCTGATTCCAGATCTTAGAGGAAAGTCTTTCAGTTTTTCCCTGCTCAGTGTGATACTAGCTGTGAGACTGTCATATATGGCTTTTATTGTATTGAGGTATGTTGCTTCTATACCCATTTTTTAAATCATGAAATGATGTTGAATTTTATCAAATGTTTTTTCAGCATCAATTGAAATGACTGTATGGTTTTTGACCTTCATTCTGTTGATGTGATGTATCACATTGATTAATTTGCCTATGTTGAAACATACTTGCATCCCAGGGATGAATTCCACTTTTTTATGATAAATGAACTTTTTAATGTATTGTTGAATTTGGTTTGCTAGTACTGTGTTAAGCATTTTCACATCAGAGTTCATTGGAAATATTGGCCTGTAGTTTTCTTTTTTTGACGTGTCTTCATCTGGTTTTGGTATCACAGTAATACTACCTTCTTAAATGAGTTTGGAATTATTCCTTCCTCTATTTTTTTCAAATAGTTTGAGACAGATTGGTATTCGTTCTTTTTAAATAAAACTAATTGGTAATTGGTTGGTAAAATTCAGCAGTGAAGCTTTTGGGTCCCAGGCTTTTCTTTGCTGGGAGACTTTTTATTACAGCTTTGCTCTCATTAGTTGTTATTAGTCTATTCAAGTTTTGGATTCCTTAATGGTTTAATCTTGGCAGGTTGTATATGTCTACAAATTTATCCATTTTTTGTAGGTTTTCCAATTTATTGGCATATAGTTGCTCATAGTAGACTCTAATGATCCTTTGAATTTCTGTGAAATCAATTGTAATCTCCCCTTTACCATTTTTGATTTTATTTATTTGGGTTTCCTCTATTTTATTCCTTAGTTAGCCTGGCTAAAGGTTTGTCAATTTTGTTTATCTTTCCAAAAAAACTTTTAATTTAGTTAATATTTTGTATTTTTATTTCAATTTTGATCATTATTGTTTCTTTTTTCCTACTAATATTGTGTTTAGTTTGCACTTGCTTTTCTAGCTCTTTAAGATATATCATTAGGTGGTTTATTTGAACTTTTTGTACTTTTTTGCTATGGGCACTACTGCTGTAGACATTTCTCTTATTACTATTTTTGCTGTATTCTGTAAGTTTTGGTATGCTGTGCATCCCTTTTCATTTGTTTCCCTAAATTTTTAAATTTTCCTCTTAATTTTTTCATTGACCAACTGGTCATTTTGGAGCATATTTTTAAATTTCCATGTATTTGTATGGTGTCCAAAATTCATCTTGTGATAGATTTCTAGTTTTCTTTCATTGTGGTCAGAGAAGATACATGATATAATTTCCACTTTTTTGAAATTTTTAGGACTTATTCTGTGGCCTGACATATGACCTATCTTTGAGAATAATTCCTGTTCTAAGGGGAAAGCTGTTGGATGACATGTTCTATAACATTGTTACATTCTCTTGCTGAATTGATAGCTTTATCATCATATAATGACTTTATTTGTCTCTTTTTCTAGTTTTTATGTTGAAATCTATTTTTTCCTGGAACAAGTATAGCTCCTCCATCTCCTTTTTGGCTTCCATTTGTGTGGAATATCTTTTTCCAAGCCTTTATTTTCAGTGTGTGTATCTTTATAAGTGAATTGTGTTTATTATAGGAAACAGATCATTGGGTTTTGTTTTTTAAAATCTATTCAGCCACTCTATGTCTTTTGATTGGAAAGTTTAGTCCATTTACATTCAATATCATTATTGCTAAGTAATAACCTACTCCTGCCATTTTGTTATTGTTTTCTAGTTGTTTCATGGTCTTCTCTTCCTGCCTTCCTTCCTGTCTTTCTTTTAGAGAAGATGATTTTCTATGGTGGTAGATATTAATTACTTGATTGTTACTTCTTATGTATCTTTTGTACTTTTGCTAAGATTACCATGGGGCTTTGAAATAACATCTTATAAAAATCCATTACAACTTAATTCTTATTGCAAAAACAATCTAAAAAGCAAAGAAAAAGCTATTACAAACTCTACACTTTAACTTCGTTCTCTTCACTTTTTGCTATTTTGTTGTTTCTATATACTTCCTATTATACTGCCTATGTCATAAAACATTGTTGTAGCTATTATTTTGATAAGTTCATCTTTCAGTCTTCCTACTGAAGAAGTTATTAGTATATATATATATAATACATATACTATATATTAGTAGTTTACATACAGCTATGACAGTATTAGAATTTTGTTTATTTTTCTGTGTACTTATTGTTACCAATGAATTTTATATTTTCTGATGATTTCTTATTGCTCATTAACATCCTTTTCTTTCAGAATGAAGAACTCCCTTTAGCATTTTTTTGTAGGACAGGTCTGGTATTGACGAAATCTCTTAGCTTTTGGGGGGTGAGGGTGGACTAGGGTCTGGAAAAGTCATTTCTCCTTAGTGTTTGAAGGATAATTTCACTAGATATATTATTCTAAGATAAAAGTTTTTTCCTTCAGCACTTAAATATATCATGCCACCCTCTCCTGCCTGTAATATTTCCACTGGAACTTTGCTGCCAGACATTTTGGAGCTCCTTTATATGTTATTTGGTTCTTTTATCTTGCTGCTTTTAGTATCCATTTTTTTATCCTTGGCCATTGGGAGTTTGATTATTATAGGTCTTGAGGTAGTTTTGTTTGTGTTAAATCTTCTTGGTGTTCTATACCTTTCTTATACTTGAATACTGATATCATTCTGTGGGGTTGGAAAATTCTCCGTTATTATCGCTTCAAATAAACTTTCTACCTTGATTTCTCTAACTCCTCTTTAAGGCCGATATCTTCTAGAGTTACATTTTTGAGGTTACTTTCTGGATCCTTTTTTGTGTTCTGTTCTTCTTTATTCTTTTGACTTCTCTGTCTATTTTCAAATAGTCTGCTGTTAAACTCACTTATTTTTTTTCTGCTTGATAAATTCTGCTGTTAAGAGACTCTGATGCATTCTTCAGTTTGATTCTTTTTAATTATTTCAATCTTTTTGTTAAATTTATCTGATAGGATTCTGGATTCCTTCTCTGTATTGTCTTGGATTTTGTTGAGCATGATTAAAAGAGCTATTTTTAATTGTCTGTCTGAAAATCCACATATATCTGTCACTCTGGAATTGCTCACTGGTGCCCTATTTTGTTGTTGGTGAAGTCATGTTTTCCTGGATGGTCTTGATTATTGTGGCTATTCATCAGTCTGGGCATTGAAGAGTTAGTATTTACTTTAATCTTCTTAGTCTGGGCTTGTTTGTATCCACCCCTCTTGAGAAGGCTTTCCAAGTATTTGAAGGAAATTGAATTTTGTGATCTAAGTCTTTGGTCAATGCAGCTATATGTGCATTAGGGGTCACCCCAATCTCAGTAATGTTGTGACTTTTGTAGATTCATAGAGGTACCACCTTGGTAGTCTTGGGAAAAATCTGGGAAATTTCGCTGGATTACCAGTAGTGTCTCTTGTTCCTTTCCCATACTTTTCCCCAGACAAGCGGAGTCTCTCTCTATCCTTGCTGAGCTCCCTGGAGTTGGGGGATAGGTGATACAAGCACTGCTGTGGCCACCACTGCCGTGACTATGCTGGGTCACACCCTAAGTGAACAAAGTATTTGGTCTTGCCCAAGGCCTGTGGAAACTATTTTCTGGTGACTGCTGATGTTTATTCAAAGCCCAAGGATTCTTTAGTCAGTAGGTTATGAATCCTGCTAGGACTGGATCTTTCCCTTCAGTACAACAGTTTCCATTCTGGCCCAGGGTGAGTCTATAAATGCTGTCCAGGAACTGGGGCCTAGGATTGGCAGCTTTAGGAATCTGCATGGTGCTTTATTTTACTGGGGCTGAGCTAGTAACCAGATTGCAAGACAAAGTCCTCTTTATTTTTCCTCTCCTTTCCTCAAGCAGAAGAAGTCTCTGTCCATGGCTAACACCAACCCAGGCACATGGTGACTAGAGACCACAGCCTGGCTACTGCTCATGTTTATTCAAGGCCCACAAGCTCTTTAGTTAGCACGCTGTGAGTCTGGTCAGGCCTGGGTCTCTCCCTTCAGGGCAGTAGTTTCTCTCCTGGCTTAGGGTGGATCTAGAAATGCCCTCCAGCATCTAAGATCTGGAATCAGGGACTTTAGTAGTGGGCTTGATGCTTTATTTTATTTTGGCTGGCCTGGTAACCAAGTTGCAAGACAAAGTCCCTTTTGCTCTTTATCCTCCTTTCCTCAAGTAGAAAAAGTCTCTCCCCAAAGCCACCACAATTTGAAATGTACTGGGTCACACCTGGAGCCAGCACAATATTGGGTGATGACTGCTGCCTGGCCACCACTGATGTTTATTCAAGGCCCAAGGGCTCTTTAGTCAGCAAGTCGTGAATTCTGCCAGGAATGGCTACTTCCCTTCAGGTGCCCCAGCTGGTGTCTCACCAGGTCATGTGTACCCCAAGTCCACTGGCTCCAACTCCAGCACAGCACCAGGGCTTGCCCAGTGATTGCAGTTCTTCTGTCCTAGAACACCTTTCAAATTAATTTAGAACCCCAGAGCGCTTTATCCTGTGGTGGTAGGGTTAGCATGAATTCAGGTTCTGACCACATAGATGGAGGATTCCCCTAGGGCTAGGGCCGGTCTAAAAGCTACCATCATGGGTTCCAGCTGAAATCTGCCTTGTATTGCTTTCTGCTGTGACAGGGGAGCACTGAGTTCCAATGCAAAGACCCGCAATCACTGTGCTCTCCCTCCCACTGTGCACAGATTCTCTCTCTGTGCCACACTGCACTACCAGGGAATTGGGAAGGGGGTGTCAGTGAATCAAGACTATTTTTCTTACCTTATTTGGTGCCTCTTTCCTTGACATGATCTTTTTCTTTTTTTTTTCACTTTGATTCTTTTTTTTTTAATTTATTTTTTTATTATTATACTTTAAGTTTTAGGGTACATGTGCACATTGTGCAGGTTAGTTACATACGTATACATGTGCCATGCTGGTGTGCTGCACCCACTAACTCGTCATCTAGCATTAGGTATATCTCCCAATGCTATCCCTCCCCACTCCCCCCACCCCACAACAGTCCCCAGAGTGTGATGTTCCCCTTCCTGTGTCCATGTGATCTCATTGTTCAATTCCCACCTATGAGTGAGAATATGCGGTGTTTGGTTTTTTGTTCTTGCGATAGTTTACTGAGAATGATGGTTTCCAGTTTCATCCATGTCCCTATAAAGGACATGAACTCATCATTTTTTATGGCTGCATAGTATTCCATGGTGTATATGTGCCACATTTTCTTAATCCAGTCTATCATTGTTGGACATTTGGGTTGGTTCCAAGTCTTTGCTATTGTGAATAGTGCCGCAATAAACATACGTGTGCATGTGTCTTTATAGCAGCATGATTTCTAGTCCTTTGGGTATATACCCAGTAATGGGATGGCTGGGTCAAATGGTATTTCTAGTTCTAGATCCCTGAGGAATCACCACACTGACTTCCACAATGGTTGAACTAGTTTACAGTCCCACCAACAGTGTAAAAGTGTTCCTATTTCTCCACATCCTCTCCAGCACCTGTTGGTTCCTGACATGGTCTTAAAACCAGGTACTGTCATCGCTCACCTGATTTTTGGTTCTTATGAAGATGTTTTTTGTGCGGATAGATGTTCAATTTGGTATTTTTGCTGGGGGATGATCGCTGGTGGGCTCTATTTGGCCAGCTTGCTCTGTCTTGCCACATTACTCATTAATTGAGAATACATACACGTTTTTCTAATGCTCTGTGACCAGTTTGTTCAGACATAAAATAGAAATATTACAACTATCATGGCTTGTTGTGAGAAGTAAAAGTATTAACACATATAAATCACTTAGAATTTCTAAGATATTAAAAGGACCCATTTATTCTTAACTACTGTTATTTTTATTGATTACTATTATCTTAATATGCCTTTACACATTTCAGTATCAACAGGAAATAGATCCTCTAAAAGTACTGTTAATTAATAAGTAAATGACTGATGGAGTATTTTTCTGCCTCTAGAGCCAGTTTACAAAAGGTCAGAGGAATCAGCTTGATCTAAATTCAAAGCTATGGTACTCTGGAAATTTACTAGATATCATTCAATTGTAGACATAAAAGAAATTATTTATGGTACGTAAAATATACTTAAATTAAGCTGTTAAAAATCAGCTTAAATGAGCAAGACCTATTTCCTATGCAGCTATAACTCTAATCACGGAGCTAGTAAAGCAGAGTAAGGGGTGTCCTTGTTTCCAGATTCCAAGCAAGCAATACTGTTGGAAGATAAATGATTCTTAAAACACTTATTTGCCTGGCATACAATTCAGTATTTTAAAAGGTTCTTCTTCTTCTTCTTCTTTTTATTTATTTATTTATTTTGAGACAGAGTCTCGCTCAGTCGCTCAGGCTGGAGTGCAATGGCGCAATCTCCACTCGCTGCAACCTCCGCCCCCCGGGTTCAAGCAATTTTCCTTCCTTAGACTCCCACATAGCTGGAATTACAGGCGCCTGCCACCATGCCTAGCTAATTTTTCGTACTTTTTTTAAGTAGAGATGGGGTTTCACCATGTTGGCCAGACTGGTATCAAACTCCTGACCTCAGGTGATCCACCTGCCTCGGCCTCCCAAAGTGCTGGGATTACAGGCTTGAGCCACTGCATCCAGCCCTGAGTAGAATCATTAATGGTTGGTAGTTCTTATAGATTACTGATGTCTACATTTCAGTAAGTAGATTCTATAAATTTATGAAATCACAAAATGTTATTTAAGATATAGTATAATATGCCCAAGCTCAACTCATTCATAATTTTAAAATAAAATATAATGAAAAATATCAAACTTACATGTATAAATAATAATTGTGATAATATTTTTATAGGCTTATGTGGTCTTAAAATTGGCAAAGTCCTTCATGTTAGTCTGGGAAGCTTAGAGGTTTTACAGTTTTCTTTTTATATCATTTTTACTTAACCCTATCGTTGATGAAATTCTCTGGGCTACATATCAAGTAAAGATTTATTTGGAGCTCACTTGATTCCAAGAAGGATATAAAATGGTTTCACCTGAATTATTGAGCCATAAATTCTGTTTCTAAATGACATGTTATTGAACCATTCTATACGAATGCCATTTCTGAATGAAATTTCAATCATATCAAAAGCTTAAAATAATTTCTGAAGGAATGTACTTATTTGACAGAGTAAACTTTTTTTGGCTATAGTAGACATTCCTGATGTATAATTTTATAACCTTTTCTGTAAAAAAAAAAGCCAGATTCCATACAGTTACAGCTAGACAGGAGAAATATTAATAGTTCTTATGATCTATACAACTGTAGGATGACCATAATTAACAATATTATGTTATATCATTTCACATGGCAAGAAGGAGGATATTGAACCTTCCCAACATAAAGAATGATAAATATTTGAGATGATGAATATAGTAATTACTCTGATCTGATCACTATACATATGTGTATTGAAACATCACTATGTACCCCAAGGATAGGTACAATTATTTGTCAGTTAAAAAAAATGAAAAGACAAACTCCAGCCATTTATTTCTCAAAAATTACATGACACATGTGTTTTGTTCAAAAGTAGGAGATACAGAATAGTAAATTAGCATGGGAAGCTACACTTTAGATATCCAGTTTTGAGATCAGAGCCAATTCCATTTACAAGCTCCAGTGCACCATTAATTAGCTCTGTAAGGCTGGACAAGTTATTGATTTTTTTTTTAGTCTCTTTGTACTATGCTGCTTTTAGGGCCTATAAAACCTAAATCATATGATTATAATAAAGATTAATTGAGAAGCATACTATAACACACTATACAGAGTAAAGTACAAAATAAGTGCTCAAGATTATTTTTGATAATGATGACAACGATTAAGAAATGAGTAAAACAACACTGTTTTCAACCTAGTAATGTGGAAAAATTATATTCAAGTGATTACAGAATTAATTATCTATTTCTGTATAAGCTCATCGGTAATTAAAATTTCAACAGAAATAACTTGAGTATTTGGTAACATTCTGAATATTGAAAAGACATGGAAGACTAATCCCAGACCTATTACAGAATTTACACTGGGCATTTTCACCAGATGATATCTTTCAATTTCTCAGTCAAAGCTTTTCATATAAGAAGATAAAAAGACCAATAGGGTAACAGCAGTGGTCTACAGAATAATACACTGTTACTCTGTTTTTTGTCATAATATGGCAATAAAAGAGAGAAATGGAGGAGAATAATGGGATAAGGTGGCATGTTATCATCATCTTTAATCTTTTGTCCGCTCCAACCCATTCAGTTGTAATGTTCCAATTTGCATGTTAAGAGACAACCAATTTAATTTGTGGTATTATCAAACCAATTATAAACTATCAGATTAATCTTTTTCTTGGATTTGAAAATTAATTTAATTTAGCATGATCTTTATGACTGGTATAAAAAAATAAATCTGAGGACAAAAATAATATTTGCCACATGAAAATCATAAACACATATGCACAAACAGATCCAACTATGCTGTAGTGATTAGATAAATTTAGCTACATGGGGAAAAGTTTGGGGCTTTTTAATTTGTGAAAGAATTATCTGCTCTAGCTTTTCTACATGCATGTGAGGTGATCAAGTAAAAATAGAACTAAATTCACATTCCTTTTTAAAGTCATATTAGAATTAATTATTTCTTTCTTCCTTGATTATGCCAGTCAAGTGTGCTATTTTTATTCTAACAAGAGAAAGAGTAAGAACCTTGAGAATATGAGAAGGTATGGGATCCAATTAATAAGTAGAGTTATGGGCCATTGATAGAGGAGAGAGACAGACTTCACTTAGAGGAGACGAAAATTTGAGTCAAAAATAGAAACATTAGTATATTTGGTGGTTAGGAACTTCTTACCTGATCTTTTTTTTTCCCGCTGAAATTGTATCTTAGTATCATGACATCACAAAATCATATATCTAAAGAAAATTTATTTTTGATTTGTTACATTTGCTTACTCATTCTGCAAATATTTATTAAGTTTTACTAGTATATGCCAGGTGCCATGGAAATTGCTGGAGTTAGGGGAATGTAAAATAGGAACTTACAGCCTAATAGGGTATACTGACATTAAATAAACCATCAAACAAATAAATGCATAATTAAAATTTTATCTCTTTAAAATAGGGCCCTTGCAAGAATTATTTGAGCAAGTAGAACTTCAGATGACACATAAAAATTTTAGGTGTAGTCACCAGTCAAAAAGTAGGCAAACAGTGGTCTAGCCAAGGCAATCACATGTGAAGATTTTAGGTGCAACAGTTTATGACGAACTTAATGCAGGGAAAGACACCAACCTGAGAGGTGACCGGAGCATGTTTAGTGGATAAAGGCCCAGATGGTGTTTCTAGACCAGGGATAGACCTCAAAGCAATATTAGAGGTTTGAATTTTATACCAAGGGCATGGGAAGCAATTTAGGGATTTATTTGTTTAACATAACATTAAGTGGTAGACATGGGTAGTAGCAACACAATAATGACATTAATGATCCAGTCTTTTTTGTTTTCCATTCAGCCATCTTGAGTATATGTATTTTGCCTTCACATCTCATGGTTGAGTTTGGGTTCTCCACTTCAGTACTTACACCTTCCATCCAGGCAGCTCAAAGACAGGGGGGAATTGGTCAAAGGAACCCTGAGGTTCTCTCATGAACTCAAGAAAAAATCCTTTCTCAGTAATTTCATTTTCAACACATTAATCAGAAATGGTGACAAGAGAGGTTGGGAAATTAATAATTGATGACTTTAGCCTTTCTGGTAGGACAGACCAAGGGATAAGAATATATATGAGAGGCTTTGTATAGCAGATCACATTATCTGCCACTATCATTCCTTTAACTACCCAATATTCCTTCTTTCAAAGGTAACAATTTATGTGGAATGCCATCATCACCTCACTAAGAGAAGTAGCTCCAAGTTCTCAGGATCGCATTCAGCTCAAAATCTAGGATTCTTTTATATGATGTATGGTTTTCTATTTCGTGGTAAGACCCTGATCAAAAAGGATCCCTTGGTCTTTTAAGTTCAATAAACTCATCAGATAATTGAGGCTACGCAGGTCAAGTTGTTTTCAGGATGACCACCTGTGGAGAGATGGCAAGATGATGATCTCTTAGAAAGAGTCTGTTCTTGCATGATAGTATTCCTTCGGACCAGTGATTTACAGCATCCACCTACAGCAGTATTTTATCAATCTGCCTTCTGAAACCAGAAATGATTTTAGAAACCATTTCCATATCATACTTTTCATACCTCCTCCTCCCTATGTAGACAGCTCAAATGGCATTCAGTTACTCGCCTTCCATATGTCTATGATTTAATTATAATTCACACTGCCAGAGAGGGATGCTAAATCACAGAAATCTGCCAGAGCATGCTGGCACAGCATGGGCATTTTCCATGTGCATCTTTTTTCTGACTTAAAATTTATACTAATAGCCATCATTCTTCAGGAAGCTCTTCTAAGAAGTACTGACCACCAAGAAGGAAAGAGAAATAAACTATATATTGCCTCAAGCAGAAAAGGACGGCTGCTAAACGGCCTGAATACAAACTTAAGATGCTCAGTTAAAGCCTCATATGACAAGATCTTTTCCATTTCATCAATGAATCACATATGTCTTGTCCAACTTATCCTGTGTGGTAAGAAGGTGTTAGCTATTCAAACACAAAGGAAAAAAAAATCAGAACTAAAACAAATTCATGTGAGACAAATTAACTAAGAATAAATGGATAAAGCCACCAAGAATAGACATTTTAAGGTCTAGAGATTTCTTTGAGGTGAATTATATGGAATAGACCATAAGATAAGGTACTCGTTTAGGTAAAATAGAAGGTGTAGCACATTTAAATAGAAAAAAAAAATTCTCAACACAGCATTCTCTAAGAGGTTTCAGTTACATGATTTCTCTGACTTTCAAAATAAGATTCTTGATCTAATCCAAATAATCAGGTTTAATCTACTTGTTCAGGATTTCAGGAATAGATTAAAGAGATTAGCTAGATGGAAATAAATTCAGACCATATAATGGGGATGATATAAAGATTTATATTTATCCATCCATGTTTACACATACAAACACATTGAACCATTAGACTCTACACGAACTCTAAAGTCACTAGACGAGCTGTGAGATCTTCTGTTCAATATGACCATAAGAACATCCTTGATTATTTTCTGGCCCGGATTTCTTTTCCTCCATATTCTACTGACCCTATTGTGACCCTACTGATTTCCGCCCTAAAAAATCAACTCCATTGTTGTTTGTGTGTTTCCTGTCCCTAAATGTCAGTTTGTACGTAAGAATGTTCTCAAGTTTTACCAACACTGTTTTGTTATAAGAGGTTATTTGCCGGCAGCACTTCATAATCTGACAGTTTCTTCCGAGCACTGCAGGTTTCTCTCTCACCCGCCCCCATCCCACCCACCCCCTCCAAACAGCCTGTCTATTTCTGTGTAGTGAGTTTTCTGCTGTGCTATGATAAGGGAAGGAACTTAATTCCTTTAGTGGGAAAGAACAGTTCTAATTCGGATCAAATTCGAAAGTGGTTTTCCCATTAAACAGACAGGTATATTATGAATCTTTCTGTGAAAAGCCCATTAAACATCTATACCCACGATTTTGGAACGTTTTTAGAAATGTTTTCTTTTTATTTTTAAATCACCAAATGTTTCTTAACAATTGTTCTCAGGTACTAAGACAAAGATGCATTACACGTTACTCATGAGCAGAGTCACTAAAATATTTATCATATGCCACTTCTAGAGCCTTATTTGGGCCTTGTCACTAATGTTTATTAACTTGAATTAAGAAAATATGACAAATTGGTTTGACATAAAAATAAAAGAATGTGCATTCAATTTCCTTTACAGCATGAAAGTTGAATTTTGTGGGGAGAAGCCTAAATATTCCAAATAATTGACACATGGCTTAAGTTAAATTAGGTTTCTCATATTCCCAGTAACAACAACAAAATTGGGGTTTTAAATATATATGTTTATTCTTAAAATATAGGGTTTTTTTGTTTGTTGTTGTTGTTTTGAGACAGTCTTACTCTGTCACCCAGGCTGGAGTGCAGTGGTGTGATCTCAGCTCCCTGCAACTTCCGCCTCCCTGATTCAAGAGATTTTCCTGCCTCAGCTTCCCGAGTAGCTGGGATTACAGGTATGCACCACCACACCAAGCTAATTTTTGTATTTTTAGTAAAGGCGGGGTTTTGCCATGTTGGCCAGGCTGGTCTCGAACTCCTGACCTCAAGTGATCCTCTCACTTCAGCCTCCCAGTGCTGGGATTACAAGTGTGAGCCACTGTGCCTTACCTAAAATATAGATTTTATAATCAGGGATTTTTGATCACTTATATTCCAAATAGAGACACAATTATTAGCTAAGTTTAAATAGCAAATATTGAAATTTCTGGGACTTAATGATCTAGAATAACAATTCTAAAGTTTCTCTATTGAGTTATTTGTGAAGATAATAAAACCATACCCCGTAGCTTCTTGGTCACAGCCAGTCACTGGCATCACTTGTGTTTACTACTTCAATTGTGTGTTAAAATTTCATAAACATTTGGATTTTTCAATGTTATATTTATATTTGTTTTAATAGCTAAATTATTTTATATCAGGCAAAGCTAAGAACAAACAAACAAAAAACTAAATAAAATTTATATTTGCCATGTTAATTAATGGGCGACCTCTTTGTATACCTAATCTATCAATTTCAGAAGACTTCAAGTACATGTTTTGGGTGGGAGACATCTGGCATGACACATAAACTTCAGGTTCCAAGTAGTTTTCTTCATTTATCTGTAACATACTTTTATATAATCTCAAGAGTTCCTAAATGAGGAACTAGATTGGAATTGGAAATAGAGAGAAATGTTTCATCTAGCTGACTTTCCAACTAATGTCTGAGGAAGAGTTGATCAGAAATATTAGTGAGAGAAAGGCATTCTGGGTTGTGAAAACACTGAGATGTGTGACAACAGGGTGGAAATCACATATTGACTAGAAAGAGACAAGACGACTACTTGGGTGGAAGCCACATTATAGGAGGATTCATGCACCCCACATAAGTCTTTAGGTTTTATGATTTAGACTGTGCAGAGGCATTGAAAATTTCAAGAAGAGATGTCCATGATATTATTACAGTTTGGGATCATCTCTCTGGTAGCAGTATACATGGTGTATTTGAGGCAGTTGAGCCTGGGATAGGCAAATAGGTACAGAGACAATTGAAACATCAAATGAGAAGTAATAGCACAGTGACAAGTTATAGAATTCACGATTATTTCAGAATATGGACTTAACAGTTGGGTGGATTTTCTTGAGTATTTGAATGAGAGAGAGAATGGAATCTAGGATGATTGCTATATTTTTGCTTGGTGTACAGTATAATTACTAAGGAGGGTAAGACATTTTGGGACTGGGATAGAAGGCAAATTCAACAAGGCTATACACTCCAAGTGTTCTGAAACCAAATAACCACTCTGAGTTAGTGGCACAGGTCTGAGGATGTAAAATGTCTTACTACATTGGTAAACATCTTTTCTCTTATACTATGTTATGCTTATGAGACAGCAGTGGATAATAATGAATTAAAGAATAATCGTGAGATGATGTTATATTGAAAAAAAATGACTGGTCTTCATATTTGAATCTTAAACGCATAACCTACTCTGCAACTCTGGAAAAGAGGTATACAGCTCAATCAGAATTTAATTTCCTGGTTTTGAAAATGTCAATAAAATAATAGCAATCTTATGACACTGATGTAAATATGAAGTAGGAAAATATAAGTGAAATTGCACAAACCAGTATTGTCCACAAACATCAATTAACCTTAATTTGCCTAATTAAACATAGGAATACATATATGAGGGATGTTAGCCTTTCTTTTCCATGAGTTTTAGTATAGGTAGAAATAATCAGAACAATTTCCATTTATTGGATGTGATGGTTAATACTGTCAACTTAATTGGGTTGAAAGATACAAAGTGTTGATCCTGGGTGTGTCTATGAGGGTCTTGCCAAAGGAGATTAACGTTTGAGTCAGTGGGCTGGCAAAGTCAGTCCCACCCTTAATCTGGGTGGGCACAATTTAATCAGCTGCCAGCAGGACTAGACTAGAATATAAACAGGCAGAAAAATGTGAAAAAAGAGACTGGCCTAGCCTCCCAGCCTACATCTTTCTCCCGTGCTGGATGCTTCCTGCCCTCAAACATAGGACTCCAAGTTCTTCAGTTTTTTGAAATCAGACGGGCTCTCCTTGCTCCTCAGCCTACAGACGGCCTATTTTAGGACCTTGCGATTCTGTGAGTTAATATTTAATAAACTCCCATATATATTCATATATATATATATATATATATATTCCATTAGTTCTGTCCCTCTGGAGAACTCTGACTAATACACTGGGTGATTAGAGTAGGCCAGTAATTCTAATGAATTATGGGTATTTTAGACCTTAATTCATATAATCCTCACAAAGACCCTGTTGAGATAAATACCATCACTCCCATTTTGCTAATTATTCAGATTATGAATACATTAAATACTAGCACCAGGAAAATAACCCAGACGTGCCTGACTCTAGACGTAACCTGCTAATTATGTCTTGTCGAAAGTAAGGTTATGACTTTTATATCCTGAGTATCTATGCTGAGAAAAAAAGAACCAACAATCCTGGGTATAGAACCATGGAAACTGCAAAATATCTTTACATCAAAAGCCCTATGCTACTAATGTCACTTTATTTTTGAAGTCACCAGCTGTAAATGGCATCCAAAAATAAACAAACCAAAACAAGCAAAAAACTCTTATTTTTTTTGTCACTATGTAACAGACTTCTAAAACTTAACATTTACTTGGATATCTTTTGAATTTTACTAAATGCCACCTCTTTTTTCCCCCTTCACTACTGTGTCCCTCTCATCTATGTTTCATCATTAATAGCATCATTTTCAATGATACTTATTATATGTGCTTACTATATTTAATATTTTTTTATTCTCTGCTATACCATATAATTATTTTTGATACCATACAGAAGCCATTGAAATGATATTTTCAATGATATTTATTATATGTGCTTACTGTATTTAATCTTTTTTTATTCTCTGCTATACCATATAATTATTTTTGATACCATACAGAAGCCATTGAAAGTATATGAGACAGAAAGAATCTAAGAAACTCCAGGTTGTTTTCTGTGGTGCCTTTCTATACAGATAAAACCAAAGAACTGAATAGAATTCACAGAAAACTCACATAGGAAAGATAAGAAGCATCTGCTTTTAGGTGAAAATGTGTAAAGATAACAGCTCAGTATCAGCACCATAATCCAATGTTGAAAGGACATTGGATTTGGTGTTCTATATGTACGATTTACTGTGTGTAGTATTTTGGGTTATTTACCTAGTCTCTTCAAGTGTTATCTTCCTCACCTGCAAAATAAAACACCTCAAAACAAAACAACAACAGCAAAAGGATCTGAAGTACTATCTCAAAAGATCACTGTGATTATTACATGAGATAATGTATACAAATCCCTTGACATAGCCATTGAAGTTCTTTCCATTGAAAATTAATTCTTTTATTTAAATGAAAGAAGTAAAACATTTTTTATATGTGCTGACTTAAATGAAGAAAGCATCTTTGTTTCCCTAAGGTAATTAAAATATATCGTCATTGTGATAGAATTTAAATTGTACCGTAGTCTCTCTCTCAGGCTGCATCACAATAAAATATAAATAAGTTGTTAAAATATGCCTGATTTAGTTGAATTGATCGCTGGATTTCTATGCAAAAAAGGTTTATTTATTTTGTTGAATTCAGTTGGTGTGGGTTTAGAGTCTGGTTCTTAGACCCGTATAGACAAAAGCTTAATCAGTAAAGCTCATTCATCTATCCCCTCTTCTTGGAAGCAAAATATCCAAGCTGATACACTCATTTCAGGCAGGTGCCATATATCCAGCTACAAAAGGTTGACTCCTCCAACAGTTCCAAGAAGGCCAAAGTACTTATGATCAGAAAGTCTCTGCAGCCTGGCCTCTGCCTCGCTACTCAGCATGATAACTATGGGCTTCCCTTCCCACCACTTTCCTCAGATACCCCGTGTTCTAACACCACTAAAGTACTTCGTACTTCCAAATGATTCTTTCCCTTGTCTTTCCTCTCATTGAGAAGTCCAGTTCTAGGCCAAAATCCTTCTTTTGACCCTTCAGGCCCGACTGTAGGAAATTACAAGGCTTGCCCTGGCAGGCATCATAGGAAAAGTTGTTCTCCCACCCTAGACGTGGTGTGCATTGCAGTTCCTGGAGAAAGTTTCAGACAAGGACCCACTTTCTCTGGGCCGGTTCATGCACATATCTGTATTCCTAGCCCAAGTGTCTCCATTCTGGAGGAGACGCTTGGCTGAGGTACTTTGCAGGCACCTCTGTTAGAGTCTCTTTCTAAGGGAGTCCTGACTAAAGCACTCTTCTCCTCTCCAAGTCAGTATTTTTGTACTCTTAGTTTTTTGACGGACCCACGGAACCTTTTTTTTACTGCTCCTCAGGGGTGAAATAATTACCTCGCCTGCACTGCTGTATCATCTGAGTGAACCTCATCAGATGTGCTGTTCTGTGGGGGAAAAATGGAACACTAGGGTTTCTGCCTCTTGCGTATAATTTTTCAGTACCTGAATAAAGGCTTGATTGTTATTTATTTAACTTCATTGACTTAATTGACCGACTTGGCAATGAAGTTGATCAATTAAGTCAATGAAGTTAAATAAACAAAGGACTTTTCTAGACATACGAGGAGTGCCATAACTGGCAGCTATGATACTCTTCATATGTCTAGAAAAGTCCTTTACATGCTGCCAGGCACAGCAAAATATTCTCAGAATCTTCTGTTCTCTGACCCATAAGAGGTTGAACTAATCTCTATAAATGGTTTATCTTCAGCCTACGTATACCTCTACACTTATATTACTCTCATTTTTATGTGGCTTTACATTTTTCTGCTCTGTTCGCTTTTGTTCCTAAGAGACCATGAGGCTTTTGAGGAGACACTGTGGCATATTCATTTTTTCCCTATATGAACTATGACAATATGTGACACATCCCAGGTGCATATTAAAAATGTTCAATGAATCAATCTTATCAAAATTTAGCGACTGTTTCAACATTAGCTTCTCATAAAGACATATATAGTTTTTTGGCTTTATACAATCTTCAAAAGAGATTTACAATATAAAAACAACATAATGTAAAACCTAATATCTTCCATTGTCAGAAAATGAGATGTTAAAATAATTTCCCAAGTATCTAAGGCCTGCATCATTAAATGCCATTTCCCTTTATTAGTTGTAAGCATTTTTGCAGTGAGTGCCATTCACATTGTATTCCCTAATTCCCCATTTTTTACCTCACTGCTATATATGTAGATAACTATCAATTTACATTCACATTTACCTTCTCACATAATTACAGTGAAATAATGTTCTGTAGAGTTTAAAATATCTCCAATTCTGAACTGTTCATAAATATTCCAATTGCTGCTATGGTTATAAAAGACTGGTTATTAAAATTAAAATATAATCTTTAAGCTATGAGGATACAAAATGAAATGGAAATAATTTACTCATTATAGTCATATAAGAATACTGTTTGAAAACATTCTTCCAAGTATTAAAATACTGCACTTAAATTTTTGCAAATCTATAGTCACATAAAAGCACTACTTTAATCTAATAAAGGTAGTTAAAAAATATTTTAAGGCATACCAAAATTGGCTCAAAATTCTTGGTGTGACTGGATATTCAGCAAAATCCCTTTTTTATTGTTGAATTACTTCTAAAGACTCTTCCCTTCTATTCTTAGTATGTGGACAACTGGATAATTATCCAAGCCTGGAAGAGTAAAACCCTTGGTAAATAGGTAAAAAGTGGTAGGCTAAGTAACCCCCCAGATGGACTCTCTGAAGAATGTGCATCTACACCAGGTTCCTGGAAGAAGTTCTTTTCACAAACAGTCCCCTTGTAGTCATTGTAAGTGAAGGAGCTCAGATTGAATAATAATAATAAAAAAGAAATGAAATATTGTAGCACTGGCTACAATATTAATCCAGAGGAAACGTAAGTTCTTTTTTAGAGGTGACTAACCCATTGGCAAGGGAATATGTGGGAAGCCCTTGAGCAAATGGTCTGCTGTAAAAACCATCTTATTTGATGGATTGGTTTATTCTTCTAATGACTGTATTCTTCATATGTTGTTATCCATCAACTTGTTTTGAGCACTTTCCTTCTTTAGTTTATATTGTATTGCGTTGTCTTTTAAAATAAAGTTTACAGATTACGGTCATTGTTTTTATTTTGGTGACAAAATAATTACAGGGATATTTTAGTGTAATCTAAAAATTTAAAAATGCCTGGTCTCAGTTGCTTCTGAGTAGGATGTAGTAGGATTTAGTGGATGCAAGCTACTATCTACTAAAAACGGGCAATGTGAAATATTTAAATGGAAAGAATATTGTGACCTATTGTTTAAAAACATTAAATGGCTACAAAGAAGTAATGGATACAAAGAAGTGTAGACAAGTTAAAAATTTTGCAGAGTGAAGAGCATTTTCTAGGTGAGGTGAAATGGTTAGCGATTTCTTTCCTTGGACACCTTCTCTAAGTCTGTTACTGGTGGATAACTTGTCTCTCTTGCCATTGTCAGAAGTTTCTAATACAGAAAATAGAAAAGAGTGGAGTTTGGGGTATAGCTTAAGGAGTTGTAACCAGAAGAACACAGAAATTACAGCTAGTTTTCCCCACTAACCTTTACCAAATGTTAGAGGCGTGCATGAATATGGGAAATTGAAACAGCAGAATAAAATATTCTACAGTGTTGTGATGCTTAAGAAGCAAAGCTCCACTAACAAAATGTTTACTGCTCATATCATGTATGATATTTTAACCTGAATAAGTTAAAGAGATAAGCTAAGTTCAAAACATCTGAAAGGACAAATTTTCAGGCTTGCCATATGAGAAAGAAACACACACACAGAGAAATGCTTCAAGAGGGAACTATATATGAGAGAGAGAGAGAGAGATAAAGACAGAGATTGATATACAGTCTCACAGAGACAGAGAGAGAGAGAGAGAGAGAGAGAAAGAGATCGACCTAGGTTCTCAGAGTACTAGAAATAATGCTTTTGTTTCCTTAGGTTTCCATTAAATTGGAAACTTTTTCAGCCATTATTTATTCAAATGATTTTATGTCCACCTCCATTTGCAGGTTTCCGTTATGTATGGTAGATAAAGTGATATTTTTCACATGCCACTATCTCTCTATTTTCTTTTCAGTTTTCTATTTTTCTGTGCTTCAGTTGCCAGTTTCTACTGTTATGAATTCAAGCATACTGTTTACATTTGTTGTTTTCTGTAGCATCAAATCAATTCTTGAGCCTATCTGTAGAATTTAGGTCAGAGGTTTTATTTTTTAACTCAAAATGTTCTATTTCATTATTTCATATATCTTCTATTGCTTTACCTATGTATATTCATATGAGTTCACATGCATATATAATGTTATTTAATAAATTTTTGATAGATTAAAATTCTTTATTTATTTTTTTATTTTTATTTATTTTTTTATTTAAATTTTTTTATTATTATTATACTTTAAGTTTTAGGGTACATGTGCACAATGTGCAGGTTTGTTACATATGTATACATGTGCCATGCTGGTGTGCTGCACCCATTAACTCATCATTTAGCATTAGGTATATCTCCTAATGCTATCCCTCCCCCCTCCCCCCACCCCACAACAGTTCCCAGAGTGTGATGTTCCCCTTCTTGCATCCATGTGTTCTCATTGTTCAATTCCCATCTATGAGTGAGAACACGTGGTGTTTGGTTTTTTGTCCTTGCGATAGTTTACTGAGAATGATGATTTCCAATTTCATCCATGTCCCTACAAAGGACATGAACTCATCATTTTTTATGGCTGCATAGTATTCCATGGTGTATATGTGCCACATTTTCTTAATCCAGTCTATCATTGTTGGACATTTGGGTGGGTTCCAAGTCTTTGCTATTGTGAATAGTGCCGCAATGAACATACGTGTGCATGTGTCTTTATAGCAGCATGATTTCTAGTCCTTTGGGTATATACCCAGTAATGGGATGTCTGGGTCAAATGGTATTTCTAGTTCTAGATCCCTGAGGAATCGCCACACTGACTTCCACAATGGTTGAACTAGTTTACAGTCCCACCAACAGTGTAAAAGTGTTCCTATTTCTCCACATCCTCTCCAGCACCTGTTGTTTCCTGACTTTTTAATGATTGCCATTCTAACTGGTGTGAGATGGTATCTCATTGTGGTTTTGATTTGCATTTCTCTGATGGCCAGTGATGATCAGCATTTTTTCATGTGTCTTTTGGCTGTATAAATGTCTTCTTTTGAGAAGGGTCTGTTCATATCCTTTGCCCACTTTTTGATGGGGTTGTTTGTTTTTTTCTTCTAAATTTGTTTGAGTTCATTGTAGATTCTGGATATTAGCCCTTTGTCAGATAAGTAGGTTGCAAAAATGTTCTCCCATTTAGTAGGTTGCCTGTTCACTCTGATGGTAGTTTCTTCTGCTGTGCAGAAGCTCTCTAGTTTAATTAGATCCCATTTGTCAATTTTGGCTTTTGTTGCCATTGCTTTTGGTGTTTTAGACATGAAGTCCTTGCCCATGCCTATGTCCTGAATGGTAATGCCTAGGTTTTCCTCTAGGGTTTTTATGGTTTTAGGTCTAACACTTAAGTCTTTAATCCATCTTGAATTAATTTTTGTATAAGGTGTAAGGAAGGGATCCAGTTTCAGCTTTCTACATATGGCTAACCAGTTTTCCCAGCACCATTTATTAAATAGGGAATCCTTTCCCCATTGCTTGTTTAAAAAAAAATAGATTAAAATTCTTACCTGCTAATCCCAATATCTCCTTTAATTATGGGCCCACTTCTTTTGTCTGACATTTCTTATCTGCTATTGAATCATAACTTTTTGCTTCACCATAGTTCTACTAATTTTTGATTAAATGCTTGACATTGTGACTCTGAGTTGTTCAGTGATAATTTTTGTGTTTTTTTTTCTTTGAATATTGCCACACTTGGTTTGCCAGCAGTTAATTATTTGTAGGTGGCTTGATTATCATAGCTCTCTTAAAGCTTTGTAGAACTCTTTCCTGAGCCACTGTAGCCCTACTATTAAGGCAGGGTTCTTCTGGAGGAATCTCATGACTCAACCTGGTATTTAATAAAACCTCTTTACTCTTCCCATTTAGAACACAATTATTTTTTAGTAGTGTGCCAACTTCTAAAGATGGTTTAGTTTACAATTCACCAGTACTTCTTTGTCTGGTCTTGTGGAATTGCAGCTTTTATATAAGCAGTTTGGTGTTCAACAATAGCATCAAGGAACCTAAATAATATGTATAATTTTTTCTCATACAGCTCCATTATCTCTTCATTTTACTCCACAGAATCAAGTTACTTCTTCCTTCACCAAATCCAACCTCTTTTGTCCTCCACCAAAATGTGTTTCTATATTTTCAATTAAAAATGTATGCTTTTTAACTGAGCTTGTAGCAGCATTGACAATAAAGTCAACTATTTTGTTTTAGAAAGACAAAAATTCTAAAAGTGATAGTTGGATTCCATGAGTCATTAGGAAAAAAAAATTATTAGAATTAACTATTTACTTTATTTGAACCATTCAATGACAATGGTATTATTTAGCTGTTTGTAAAGTTCCTCTTCTGCTAAAAGATGCAAAATTTAACACTTATGATATCTACTTGAGACAGCTTGAAATTTAAAATGAAAAAAAGCTTAAAAATGCATATACTTGATTTAAATGAAAAGACATGCTTCATAGAATAAAATGTCAATGCGCTTCTGAAGTACTTACATGTTAAATCATCATTTTTCATATAATCTTGCTAAAACTACTAATTTTGAAGTAGATGCTAATGCTTTTTCAGCAGAGCTGTGTCTGAGGAGATTCATTTGATCCATTTTGTTATTGTAACCCCACGATGGAAAGTACACATTTTGTGCAAATTATATATTCATTATCTGCTTTCTTGAGGAATGAACATTTATATGTAATTTTCATTAAACATTAACTGTTCTGATCATTGCTGCTGAAAGTGTTCATTGCAAAATACATAGGCAACTCATAAACGAATAAAAATATACTGCCAAATAAAATGTATTACATAAACTTCCAGACTACTCTGTGTAGGTTATGGCTGTATTGCTCAGAATACTTGCCGCACATTTCCTATATTTGAAATCTCTAATTTTCTACATTTCCCACTGAGCCCACTGACTTGAAGTCTTAGCTTTGCATGAAGGCTGTGCCATAAGCTATGGTAAACTTAGCTGATACATCTAGTGTCTGGTAGGCAGGCAGTGCTATTGAATACTTCCTTGTATTACTTCCCAAGACTAGAAGGAATAGCTGTCTGTAATAATGAGTGTCTAAGCACTCTTCACATGTTTTTGCTTTAAATTCTGCATGCCGTCTAGAAGAAAATGTATAGTAGGTTATATTTCATATGAAAGTGTTAATGAAAACAGAGATCAGTTACCACTGGTCATAATTCAGATTAAACCATGTGTTACAAAGAGTCAACCTGCTTTAATGAACAAGGATTTCATAAGTAAATATATGACAGAAACTACAAGTACAAAGGGAACCCTCCAAATCGACCTGCCTTACTTGAATGAAACTTTTAATTATAATGTGTTATTGTTAACATTACAACTCTGGAACAAATTTCAGCACAGATGGAATTCCAGTACAACATGCCTATCTTGGGACTTCCTTAAGCAAAGAAGACACATAGTCACCCTGTCTTACAGAGGTGCCCCTCTCTAATAATAGAACTCCCTAGTTCTAGCATTTAATTTTTGTATACCTTCTCCACCAGACAATGAAAGCAGAGACTGTTATTCATTGTGTATTGCTAACAATGGACAGTATACTGAGTTACTCTAAAATTTTAATAAATATTTGTTGAATGGGGGACACTTCCAATAAAATTTACATAGTCTCATGATTTATGAGAACTATATGAAGTTCTGGAAAATTATTTGGTTAGCAGTATCAACCTTACAGTACAATTTACAGTTCAAACAAATTCTGAAGAATACAAAGGCAAATTAAAAAATTAATACAACGAAGTAGTTGTGTGTATATAGATTTGTATTAGGTGAAATGGGAATAAAATATGATAAAATATACAGCTCTTAACAGTAAGGATTGTATGATGAAACATATTTTGATTAACATCAAGTGGCATGCAAATAGGAGTCATGTATTTGTAAAAAAGGATTCACAGTGGACACTAGAGATGCATTAAAGTGATTTTATAAAGACATTAGTGAGATCTTCCTACATGGAAACGTGTGCTAGAATTTGAAAGAAGAAACTCTTTTAAGGAGATATTTTATATAAGAAGATCATGTACAAAATGTTGAGATGGGACTATGTCTGACATACATGGAGACTGTTAGGAACAGTTGAGATGAGGCAATTTTTTTTCTTTGAGACCGGGTCTTGTTCTGTTGCCCAGCTGGAATGCAGTGACGTGATCTTGGCTCACTTCAACCCCCACCTCCCAGGTTCAAGCCATTCTCCTGCCTCAGCCTCCAGAGTAGCTGGGATTACAGGTGCCCGCCACCATGCCTGACTAATTTTTGTATTTTTAGTAGAGACAGGGTTTCACCGTGTTGGCCAGGCTGGTCTCTGACTCCTGACCTCAGGTGATCTGCCCACCTCGGCCTCCCAAAATGCTGGGATTACAGGCATGAGCCACCACACCTGGCCGAGACAAATCTTTTCTATAAAAGAGCAGGGGATGGATAACTAACTAGAGTCAAGTTGTAAGTTGTCTTATAAACGTTCTTGGAAGGAAAGTTTCTAATTCTATACCCCAATTTCGTTGAAAGCCATGAAAATAATAGAAAAAGACAATTTAGAAAATCCTTAAAGGGCTTTCAAAATAAATTTTTGGAGAGGGTTATTTATCAAATTTGAGCTGGGTCAAGCCACTAGAATTCTTTCAGTTGCAAATGTCAGAAAATCAAAATCAAACTGGATTAAAGAATAAGTTGATTTATTACATTATTGTAAACAAAAAGTCCAGAGGCAAGACTTCCTTCAGGCATGGCTTCATAAAGAAATTAACTCCAATTTTGTAATATTCTATGTCCTGTTGCCTTGGCTTGATCTTTTAATGTGTGTAGCTTTCTTGATGGTTATAGCACAGCTACTGTTAGCAACTGGGGACATGCAGTTCCTTGTTTATATTCAAATATTAAACTTTGCACTAATTGGTCTAACCTGGACCAGTAGCTATAGAAAGAAATTCTATGATTAGCTTAATATTAAGTTATTGGCTGTCCTTAAACACATTTTTGGCTAAAGGATGTGATTTCAATTGTGAGCTTACAAAAATCAGAATCCCCTTACATACCACAAAACTATACTCTAAAAGTAAACCTGGGTATCAATATTAAAAATACACTAGAAAAATGTGGGCAATTACTGACATCCATCCTTTGAGTATGTAGTGAGAAGCAGGATAAATTCTATTTTTTTCTATATTTTCTTGTGCTAGCAATTAAAGTTTAACAGTCACATACAGTCAGCCCTCTGTATCCATGGGTTGTGCGTCATGGATTCAATCAACTGTGGATTTTAAATGTTTGGGGGAAAAAAAAAGGATCATTGCCTTCAGTACTGAGCACATACAAATTTTGTTTCCTGTTATTATTCCCTAAACAATGTAATGTAACAATTATTCACATAGCATTTATATACTATTAGATATTATAATTAATCTAGAGATGATTTAATGTATATGGGAGGATATCTGTATGTAAAATACAATTACTACATCATTTTATGTAAGGGATTTGAGGATTTGTGAATTTTGGTAGCAGTGGGGTTGGGGCAGTCCTGGAACTGATTCTCCATGGATACTGAGAAACAATTTACATTAAGTTGTTAAAATTCCTAGAAATAAATGTACTCATAACTACCTTTTAGTTTTATAACTATAATATAAGACTTCATGATAAAGATGAACAAAAACAAAATTAATCTTAGTTTCTGGACTTTTGTACCTATGTATAAGATTAGCTATTTTCTGACCTAAGACCACAAATTTTGATTAAATTACAGTAAAATAAACAGACAAATGAAATCTTTGGCATATGCACTAAAACACTAAAGTGTGCCTTTCCCCAGGATGACCAAGAGTGCACTAGCAGGGCATTGCTTTCTAGTAGCAGAAGAGCAGATCTCTTAAAACTTCTTTGCTCATTTGCTTTATTCATTTATATACAAAAAATAAAATGATAAAGAACTATGGAAGTAGTGACCACTATTTGATAGGCATGCTCATGTGTGATCTCATTTAATTCACCAAACAAGCATGCAGGTTGTTACAAAGGGGATAACTAAAGCTCAAAGAGAAGCTAAATACTTTGTCACATTTGCACAAATTAGCAAGTAGAAGAGCCTGGATATTAGGTCAAATGGGATACTTGAGAAGGCAATTCCTACCTTACTTTTTACTTTGACATATTAACTTCTAGGATTTTCCAGCAGATATATTCAAAGTTAATTGAATTTAGCCTAGTTAATTTCCTAATGAAGGAAGTCCAGATGATTGCCTTTCAGATCTACTTCTTTGTACATGTCTTCCCGTAAATAGAATTGATATGTATTGCCTGCATTCTCTTTACAGTAGTGTGACCAAATCTCTGTCTTTGTTGACCAGATCTGCTTTTCCCATTTAAAAAAAAAAAAAACTGTCTTAAAATTATTATATCTAGGAATTGATATTTTCACACTATCTCGCCATTCTTCTAATGGATTCTAGTGGTCAATTGAGTTCTTTATTCCACAATTAAGAAATATTAAAATGTCAACATTTGCTAAGAGCAATGAGAGCTTGGTTTATATTCATAATAAGGATTGCTATATTTTTTTCCTGAAACACTATTTAGACAGGTTGTGTGAATCAAAGAGTGGTAGTAAATTAGGGGAAAAAAATATGAGAATGATAAAGTTTACTACAGAAGAAGGAAATTCTCAAAGAAAGACAGGAAATAGTAAGATATTCTTCCCTCTTGCCTCTAATTATCCTTTATGCTGGAAGCACAATTGGGAGGAAAATGCCAGGATTCTCTGCTTCTTATATCTAATTGCCAAAGTCATACTACAGGAATTACGTTCTTAATTCAGGGTTTTGTCTCCCTTTCTATTATGTATATATCGTTTAAACCTATAAAGTCTATTTGTCATGCCTCTTTTTTAAAAATAAATTTTCATACAATGCTATTTCATAATAATTTCTGTTTCAAAATTATTGGTTTTAGTATTTTTCAAGAAATTATGAGTTTAAATAAATTATTTTTTTCTTTTCTTAAATACCTGTTTTTGGGGAATGCAGAGCTATGTGTGCCCAAGTGTTTCTCTTTAGAGAATATAGTGCCCATGACTGTTATGTTTTCAGTTGTGAAGAAAAAATGCTAAAAGTTTCTCTGACTAACAAGGTCACCTAATCATCCCTAGGAATCAAAGTATCTGTAAATGTCACCTCACTTGTTCACAAATTTCCAGCTGCTAAGACAACTATGAAGACTTTGCTGGAGTGTTCTGTTTTTCTTTTGTCTGACCTCTAATACGTGTTTGAAGGCCACTAGACAACTAAAAGCTGAAATTTTCACCAGGAAAGTGGCCTAATCAAACTCATTCAATCTGTTCATATCTATATAAACAGTTGAATGTCATGCTGTGTTACTTTTAAAATACATTTTTCTTAAAGTATTTTATTTTTCTTTGAAGTTGGTTGAGTTCTTGCCAACTGGAGTAGGAAATCACAGGATCTGCTTCCTAATTACACGACAACATTCAAGTAAGGTTTTTTCCAGCAAGGATATATTAAATTCAACACTTTCGATATACCACATTGGCCTAACATATGTGGTTTTTCAGGTATCTTGAGGCATCCACACTTAGGTTAATCAGATTTCTATTGTCGCAAAGACCTCATGAGTCTCATGAAAGGCACAAGATAGGCACAGCCTGATATGTTTGACCAAGCATACAAATAGTTTGTATACAATGGTCAGCCACAAGCTTTCATACCGTGGTGTTAGATGTGCAAATAAGTCATATTAAGAGAAAAGAGACTCAAGAAACACAACTTTGGTTTGTTCGGTGAAGAGAAATAATCTTGGTGTCTTATTATGTGATGTCGCTAAAGTTGACCTTTGTCTTAGTTTCTGGGAAACCTACACTAGTGTCACATAGTGAACTAAAAAAATTAATGATTGAGTAAAATGTTTAGACTTACATTGGTATGTAATCATAGTGATGGTGACCTTATAAGGTTTCATTCAACTGAAAGCATACATGATAGGAAAAGAAGGCCATATTAAAAAATACTATTTGGAAAACAGGCATAAAACAGAATATTCTAATCTATCCGAGTTAGATTCACCCTAAAATAGGTAAGATTAACAGAGATGAGAAAAGATTCAGTTTATGCTGAGCATCATTCTTAGAATAAATCTCCTTCCACACACCTACACACTTGAAGGTGACTACTTAGAAGCACATATATGCATACAGCAATTGGAGAACAAGCAACTAGAAAGTCCCATATAGAGTGACAACACTAACTGAAGGAATCTGATCCCACATTGCAGAAAGAGAGAACACACTGGGTAATTTATAAACAATTGTTTATTCAGGCATGGTTTATTTCTTATTTATATTTGAATTAGTACGGCACCTGGTGTAAACTTTGGTCATGTTGGACTCAAAGTGCACGTTCATTTTAAAAGTGTATATTATCTAAATATCCACATTAGCTCTTGGGGGAAAAGTGATAAAGACTACTTGACGTGAGGGACAGTGGGTCATTGGCTACATTGGTTATGGAGACTTAAGTGAGGAAAAACAAACTGATGCTATTTGTTAATTTGATTCTATTATGTTATCTTCTCCTTTTACTTTGTGTCATGGGTGGCAGTTTCAAAGGTAGTAATGTTTGTTCTTGTGCAATATAAGTGACACCATTATTATTGCAACCAAACCATCGTACTTACATCCACCCTGCACCCTAAGAACTGAAACCACATTTCACTGTCTACTTTAACATGATTTCTCTATTCCTCTGATTTCATTAGCATGACTTCATTGTTCTGGCAGTTTAGATCAGTACGAAAACTTCCCAGAAGATCAATCAACTTTGCAATGAAAAACTTCATTAGTTTGCTGTGCTATAAGATTCACTGAATCCTTTGTGTCAAAATCCTTACCTTAGTGTTCCCAACAATTGTGTACTATTGTGTCTTGATTTGAATCCACCTTAAATCAAACTTCCAATATCTCCATCTGATCTACTGCCAGATGAAACACCAACCTTATATCAAACTTCCAATATCTCCATCTGATATACTGCCAAACTTTATGAGGTAACGTTCCCCATGACCTAGGTCTATAATACATGCAACTTTGACTTTTCAACAGATTGTGTTGGTAACATTTGGGGAGTCAATTTCTGACAAATTTTGAGGCCAATTTTTTTACAATTATTTACCACAACAAGCAATTCCACTTGTGTTTCTTATTAACAATGTCACCTTTCCTTATCTTACCTGGAAACACTTGGCATTATTCTCTTTCATAGGACTAAAGTTTCCTGGTTCATATCATGTAGAGGAGACACCTTTTCTTTTTTTTTTCTCTCGGGAAAGAAGACAAACTTTTGAAAACGTAAATTTTGACAGTTAATCTTTTTTTCTCATGAGTTACAAAGGAGATATTACTGTTTGTCTGAAAAGTTAATTTCAGAACTTCTGGTTCCAAAATGGCAAAGTCCCTCTTGGATCTTCCCTCCCAGAGAGAAATATTGTAAACTTTGGGGAAAAATAAAAGAATGCAAGTAAATCTGGAAGGAAACAAGCATTTATAAGAAGGGAAAGGCACAAGGTGAGTTTCTAGAACTAATAGCTTAAGACTTAGAAGTGACCAAATTTAGTGCCACACTGCGTGGTTAGAATTTGAAAGAAAACACACAGTCTTTCTACCATGAAGAAATATAAGTGTTTCAGGCAACCAACACCACTTAAAAGTGAAAGGGAATCTAGTAAAGGAGAAATCCAGAGCAGAAAGCACCACATGCTGCGTATGTAGATTCTCTGCCAACACCTCTGACTGGCTCCTGAATCACTGCATACGTGCGTGGTCCAGATTTTAAGAAATGTGCTGAAACTCGAACTGCTCTCCAAGAGAAAGGGCTTACATTTGAGTCGATCTAAGTTAATTGCCTACTAAAACAAATAAACAAACAACAATACAAATACTTTTCAGAGGACTACAACATAACCTGACTTCCATAACAAAATTTTCACAATCAACTGGATAAAATTCACAATTATCCAACAATAAAAAACGAAACAGAAAAACATGAACCATTTTCAAAAGAAAGTAAATGGGAAGTTTGTAAATTTATGACTATTTGAGGCTTAAAATATCTTTAAACTCTCAAAATTCTACAGGGATGAGAAGACTGAAGAAGCCACTCTGACACCAAAAAAGGGCAAATTATTTAATAGCCACATGTGATGAAACCAAGGAGGTAAAAACCTTACAAAGACACAGAGCTTTGTGTTTGATATTATAACTGGCTAGGAATTTTGAGTCCTTACTCTTGTGGAATGACATATACTCTATTTTTATTTAGAAAAACAAGTGAGCTAAATATTAGTAACCGAAAGAGTGAAATACAGTTTACTAATTATTTCCAGCTCTCTATTTTCTGAAGACATAATACAATTTCACCTCCTGGAACATTTTGTGGTTGGGTGGGACCATACGCTGAATTAGTAAATGAGTGGTAGACAAATTAGTAGCATGTCACTGAAGAGACATATTATTCACATATATATTGGCTAGCCCATTTAAATGCAACGTGAGATTAACCAAGCAGATTTTTAGTTTTCTCTCTAGCATAGAAACTAGGAGCATCAAAATGAGTGGTTACTGTTTACTAGGTTTCTAAAGGATTACAACAGAGCAGAAGCCTTCCTGTAAACCAAATGGCTAAGAATTTATAGTGAGAAATGAATCTTTGTTGCTTAAGAATATAAAGTTTTTATAAAAATATCACACAGTATGTTTTTGAGGTTGCTGGTTATTTTAGAGAAACATGGATGGCCTATGCTGACCACTGAGGAAAGTCAACTAACTACTTTAGTTTTCCCTGTTGGCTATGATGAGTCATTCAGCCAGGAGGCCTCTGGTGGGTGTGATGTACTTGATCTTCCATAGCTTTTACTACAACTTTGAACATCCTGCCAGTTCTCTGTCCTGCCTCATTTGCTACAGATAACCCCATCTCTATCATGACTGTCTATCAGATTTTCTTTTCCACTTTTAGTTTTTCTCATTCTAAATTTAAGAATCTACTGTCTAGATTTTCTCTCAGTATTTCTAGCTGTGACAAATTTTCTTCATCTCTAAATAAGGGTAATAACCGGTCATACATTAGGGAGTTGTTAGAGGGATTTAAAAAATAGATGTTAAGAATGTAGACATCTCTGTTGGCATTATGATCACCATCATCATCCCGTCACTACCAGCATCTTTATCTCTGTGATCTTACGGCAGACATGGGGATGGTTAAAATGATTTCCTATATAATGTTAAGAACCGTTGAATCACCTCAGCATTATTTCCTTAAGTATCTCGCTCAGATATTGGGATTACTCTACCCTAATTTTATCAATTTTTCATTATCTGCAGGTCTTACATTATAAACAAGGCACAAACCTTATCTGTTCAAAGATACCTTCATACTTACCTATGCATTTTCATTCACACTCCTGCTGATCTTTCTTTGTATTTGACCCAAATGAATCAAAGTAGGAAATTGTAACTGTAGAGACTCAACATTTCTACATTTTAGTCAAGGCCCATTTGAATTTTACTCCTGTGATACATGCTTGGTGATAAAACTCTTTTCTCCTTTGGATGAGAAGAAGATATTTAGCATTATCATGCATTCTCAGATTTACAGTTTGAGGACTGTAAACTCTGAGGCCTTCTGACTTTCATTCTAATAAGTGATGCTCTGCTTTTTGAACTAAAATAAAATATCAGTTATCCACCATAAATAAAGTTCTAGAGATCTGCTATACAACACTGTACCTATAGATGTTAATACTTTATTGTACACTTAAAAATTTGTTAAGAATGCACTTATCTCATGTTGAGTGTTCTTACCACAATAACAATACTTTATCATAAATTTAAAAATCTGTAGAGGATAGATTCTCATGCTAAGCGTTCTTACTACAATAAAATTTTAAAAATGCAACAAATAACAACAGCATTTTAACAATACTCCTGCAAAAGGCTTAAAAATATGCATTGAGATTCACAACTCATTTTTTGTTTTAATCTGACTAGATTGTCTCTTTCTCTGGGGCAGTAGATGTACTGGTTTGTTAGGAGAGAGACCATGGAAAAGGAAGGATCAGTGTGAACAAGCAAAATTTCAGTTTCAAATCTTCACGTTATGTTTTGCAACACTAACAATATAATAAGGCTGAAATTTTTGGCTAAATAAAATATTCAGTAATTTCAATTAACACTGCATTTGACATTGCTAATTGGAAAACTTATGTGCTGATAAAAGCACTCTGTCCCCTACTCTTTGTATTTCTAACACACAGTGGTTCTATCACTTAAGCTCCACACATATCAGCTACAGACCAAATCATTTTTTCTTTTTTGAGACAGAGTCTTGCTCTGTCGCCCAGGCTGGAGTGCAGTGGCATGATCTCCGCTCACTGCAAGCTCCGCCTCCTGGGTTCACACCATTCTCCTGACTCAGCCTCCCGAGTAGCTGGGACTACAGGCGCCCACCACCACGCAGGCTAATTTTTTTTTTTTTTTTTTAAGTAGATATGGGGTTTCACCATGTTAGCCAGGATGGTCTCAATCTCCTGACCTCGTGATCGGCCTTCCTCGGCCTCCCAAAATGCTGGGATTACAGACGTGAGCCACTGCACCCGGCCAGGCCAAAGCATTTCTGACACGCATAGACTCCCTTCCTTGTATTCCAGCCCCTTTCTCCCTTTTCTGAAAGAGAAAGGACATGCAGTTCTAAAGCTTCAAGTTTTGTTTTTCTTTCTTTGTCTCAATTTACCTTTTTGGTTTTTTAATGACTACTGATATACTCTGGCTATGACCAACAATATTCTTCACCTCTGCTGTGTTTTTTTGCACTGATGTATGATTATTCTTTTTTTCTTTTTTCACATTTAAAATAACCTATATTTTAAATGTGATTCAAGTTATATACCTTAAATATCATATTTATCAGTAAATTACTTATGGAACTCTTTACTTAGTATCCTTGAATGTAGAGATGGTGTCATGTAAGTTGGTAGCCCAAAAAGTGCCCAGATTCCTAAATTGACATAAAAGTGTTCAAAAACATTTATCATAAGAATTTTTCAATCAACTTTAGTGAAAATGTTTAGAATATGTTAAATACCAATAGAAAGCTACTAACAAGAAGACTTCTTCTTCCTCACTCCTTTATGGTATAATATGAATATATTTTAAAAAACATATAAAAAATTCACACTTTTGTGTTTATCCTTTTGAGAATTTACAATTTTCATATTATGGGTTTTCAAATTTCTTGATTCCCTTCAGCCAGTCCTCATACGTAAATGCAGGATTTCCATAGATAGCTCCTATTACAACTAATGATAGCTATATAAATTAATCTGGAAACTGCTTCTGTTGGCCTATCTATTACAAGCCTTCCTTTTTAATGATAACACATTTTTTTCCTAATGGGAAACATGACAACAAAATGGCTTTGACAATATACCTGTAGATTTTCCCCTCCAATGGCAATTTGTATAGTTTTAAGATTATAAGCAGAAGTAAGAGAAAAAAAATGGTATGCCAATGACTCAGTAGCTTTTTGTTTCATAAAAATGGATTGTGTGTGCTTCAGTATACATTAAAACAATAGCCCAGCTGTTATTTACACACATTTCAAAAATGGTGACAGGAAGTTTTAAAAATGTATAATTACCTGAGAGTTAAGAACAACCTTGTGAATCGACGATGAATAACAAGAAGTGTTTGGCAGGCCATCTAGAGTTTGCAAGAGTCATTCAACCAAGATAAAAAATGTACATCTATTATGGGGAAAAAATACAAGCTGATGAAAACAGCTTGTGTATTTTTTTGCTAATAAACTAAATATTGCTTTAAGGAAAAAAGTGATCTTGTTCTTTATTTTGTGATAGATATTCCAAAAAGTGGTCATTTCTTACTTATTTAAGATATCCTTTTTTTGTTTTTGTTGTTGTTGTTTTGAGATGGCGTCTCCTCTGCTGCACAGGCTGGAGTGCAAGTGGTGCAATCTTGGCTCACTGTAACCTCTGCCTCCTGGGTTCAAACAATTCTCTTGCCTTAGTCTCCCGAGTAGCTGAGATTGCAGGTGCACACAACCACCCCTGGTTATTTTTTGTATTTTTAGTAAAGACAGGTTTGTGCCATGTTTGTCAGGCTGGAATCGAACTCGTGACCTCAAGTGATCTGCCTGCCTCAGCCTCCCAAAGTGCAGGGATTACAGGTGTGAGCCACCGCACCTGGCCATATGAATGATACCCTTTGATCAGCCTTCTCATAGAGCTCTTAGCAGGTCATGGACATGGATCAGAATCCCTGGTTATGGGAACATATTTTGATGTCTCTTCAGCTAAACAGAGAAGCCACCTTTACATAGAACATGAATCTTTTATTTAGAGATCACCATGAAACTCTTAATTCCACAAACACACAATTAATTATTTCTAGTCTCCTCTTATTTGCATTAGTGTTTCAGAGTTGCCACTTGGAGCAAGTGAGGCAGAGTGGTAGGCTATGGGTCACACACCTGTTCCCTATTGAAGAGAACATTGGAAAAGCAAGAACAAGCTTTCTCATTTTCTATCAAGGATGAAAAGGGAAAGGGTCTACTTCCACCAAAGTCTGTAATAATGTAGATTTTCCATATATCAAGAGTTCAGATAGTCAATATAGCCCTTTACCAAAATGTCAAATATCAAGTATAGACATTAAGAAAATAAACAATGAATTTAATTAAACTTGGTTTCAAATCCCAGCTATGCCACCACTTCTGTGTTATTCTGGGAAGATTATGTGCCTTCCATGAGCATCTGTTTCAACTGTAAATATGGAGAAAAACATCTGCCCTAACTTATGAAATTATTTTTGAGATTAAAATAATGTAAATAAGGTGCATAACACAGTATCTGACACAATTCATACTCAAATGTTAATGTTAATTATGATACGTGAGGCTGTACGTTTCTCTGAAGATTTGAGGGAGGATATTGGGTATTGTGATGAAGGGTAACAGAACACTTGGTGGCCAAGTTGCTAAAAGAAGCACAAGTCATACCTTCAGATTTCATATGACCCAGCAATCTCACTTCCGGGTACATATCTGATATGGTTTGACTGTGTCTCCACGCAAATATCATCTTGAATTATAGCTCCCATAATTCCAGTGTGTTGTGGGAGGGAACTGGTGGGAGATAATTGAATCATGGAGGTGGTTTCCCCCCTACTGTTCTCTTGGTAGTGAATGTATCTCAAGAGGTCTGATGATTTTATAAGGGGAAACCTCTTTCCCTTGGTTCTCATTCTGTCTTTGTCTGATGCCATGTAAGGCATGCCTTTGTTCTTCCCTCACCTTCCACCATGATTGTGAGGCCTCCCCAGCCACGTGAACCTGTGAGTCCACTAAGCCTCTTTTTCTTTATAAATTACCCAGTCTCGGGTATGTCTTTATTAGCTGCATGAAAATGGACTAATACAATATCAAAAAAAAAAAAAAAACAGAAAATCAATATATCAAAGAGATATTTGCACTCCCATATTTATTATGACACTATTCACAATAACTAAGATATGAAATCAACATAAGTGTCCATCAATGGATGAATGGATTAAAAAATGTGGTACATATACACCACAGAATATTATTAACCCATGTGTTTGCAAGTGACAGGATCACAATCATTTTTATGGGCAAATAGTACTCAATTGTGTATATGTACCACATTTCCTTTAATACATTCATCTGCTGATGGACACTTAGGTAGCTTCCAAATCTTGGCTACTGTGAAGAGTGCCATAATAAACATGGGAGTGTAGATATCTCTTTGATATACTGATTTCCCTTTTTTAGGGTATATATCTTGCAGTGGGATTGCTGAATCATGTGAAAGTTCTATTTTTAGTTTTTGAGGAACATCTAAACAGTTCTCTACACTGGCTGTAATAATTTACATTATCACCAACAGTGTACTTGGGTTCCCTATTCTCCATATCCTCACCAACATTTATTTTTTCCTCCAGCAAATTAAATAGGTCATGCCACTCTCTCCTGGCCTATAAGGTTTCCACAGAGAATGCTGCCAGATATATTAGAGACTAATTGTTATATAACATATTGTACTTATATTTTTCCTGATGCTTTTAAAATATTTTCCTTATCCTTGACCTTTGGGAGTTGATTATTAAATGTCTTCTGGTATTCTTACTTGGGCAAAATCTCCTTAGTGTTATACGACTTTTTGGAACTTGAATATTGATACCATTGTCTTGCTTTGGGATGTTCTCTGTTACAATCCCTTTTAATAAAATTTCTATCCCTCTCTCTCTACTTCTTCTTTAAGACCAATAACTCTTAGATTTGCCCTTTTGAGGCTGTGTTCTAGATTTTGTAGGCATGCTTCTTTCTCTTTTATTTCTTTTTCTTTTGTCTCATTTGTGTATTTTCAAATAGCCTGTCTTCAAGCTCAATAATTATTTCTTCTGCCTGATGAATCTGCGGTTAAGAAACTCTTATACATTCTTCAGTATTTTAGTTGTGTTTTCAACTCCGGAATTTCTTTTTAATTATTTTAATCTCTTTGTTAAATTTCTCTGATAAGATTCTGAATGCCTTCTCTGTATCATCTTGAATTCTTTTGAGATTCCTCAAAATAGCTCTTTTGAATTTTCTGTCCAAGAAGTCACATATCTCTGTCTCTCCAATTGGTCACTCCAATCTTGGACACTCTTGAACAACCGCAAGCATCAAGACTATCCAGGAAAACATGGCTTCACCAAATGGACTAGTTTTCCTGGATGGTCTTGATGCTTGTGGATGTTCAAGAGTGTCTGGGCATTTAAGAGTTTGGTATTATTTTAGTCTTTGCTGCCTGGCCTTGGTTGTACCCATCCTTCTTGGGAAAGCTTTCCAGGTCTTCAAAAGGAATTGGGTGTTGTAATCTACATCTTTGGTCACTGCAGCCATATCTACTGCTACACAGCCAGTAGTGTTGTGGCTATTGCATATTTGTAGAGGTACCACCTTGGTGATCTTGAATAAGATCCAGGAGAATTCTCTGGATTACCAGGCAGAGACTCTTGTTCTCTTCCCTTACTTTCTCCCAAACCAACTCTCTCTCTGTCTCTGTCTCTGTCTCTCTCTCTCTCTCTCTCTCTTTCCTGATCTTGCTGGAGCTGGGGGATGAGTGACAGAAGCACCCTTGTGGCCACCACCCCTGCGACTGTGCTGGGTCAGATCTAAACCATCACAGCACTCGGTCTCACCCAAGGCTTGTGATAACCACTGCTTTGGTACTGCCTGTGTTCACTCAAGGCCTCAGAGCCCTACAATCAGCAGTTGGCAAAGCCAGCCAGGATCATGTCCTTTTCTTCAGGGCAATGAGTTCTCTCCAGTTCCTGGTGGTCTCCAAGATGCCATCCGGAGCCAGGGCCTGAAGTCACAAACCTTAGGAATCTACCTGATGCTCTGTTTTACTGTGGCTGAGCTGGCACCCAAACCATGAGACAAAATCCTTCCCACTCTTCCTTCCCCTTTATACAAGTAGAATAGTCTCTCCCTGTGGCCACCACCACCCCAGGCTCATGGTGACTACTTCCTGCCTACAACTTGTATTCATTCCCTGGACCTTCCCAGTTGGTGTCTCACTGGATTGCATGCCCCACAAGTCCATGGGTCCAAGCCCAGAACAACTCCAGGCCTTGTCTGAGATTGCAATTCTGTGGCCTAGACTGCCTCTCAAGTTTATTCAGGAACCCAGAGCCCTTTATCTCATGGTAGTGGGGCTAGCTAGAACTCAGGTCCCAACTGCTGAGATGAGTGATTGCCCCGTGGATAGGGCTGGTCTAATTCTCCCTCTGTGGGTGTCAGCTGAGTTCTGCTTGGTGTTGCTTTCCCCTGTTACAGGGCAACACGGGGTTCCAATGCAAAGTCCCACAATTACTGTGCTCTCTCTTCTCAAAGCACTTAGATTCTCTCTCTGAGTAGCGTGGCCACTGCAAAAAGATGAGGGTGGAGTGATGCCAGCAATTCACACTGTCTTTTCTACCCTCTTCAGTGCCTTTCCTTGATATGATATTAAAACCAGGTACTATGATAGCTAACCTGATTTTTGGTTATTATGAAGGTGCTTTGTTGTGTGGATTGTAGTTCAGTTTGGTATTCCTGCCAGGAGGACAATCTGTGGAGGCTTTTATTCACTCATGCTCTGCCTCCTCCGGGATTTTATTTTTTTTAATTTTACTTTAAGTTCTGGGATACATGTGCAGAATGTGCAGGTTAGTTACATAGGTATACATGTGCCATGGTGGTTTGCTTCAACCCATCATCTAGGTTTTAAGCCCCGCATACATTAGGTATTTGTCCTAATGCTCTCCCTCCTCTTGCCCCTAACCCCCAAACAGGCCCTGATGTGTGATGTTCCCCTCCCTGCGTCCATGTGTTCTCGTTGTTCAACTCCCACATGCGAGCGAGAACATGCGGTGTTTGGCTTTCTGCTCCTTTGTTAGTTTGCTGAGAATGATGGTTTCCAGCGTCATCCATGTCCCTGCAAAGGACATGAACTCATCCTTTTTCATGGCTGCATAGTATTGCATGGTGTATATGTGCCACATTTTCTTTATCCAGTCTATCATTAATGGGCATTGGGTTGGTTCCAAGACTTTGCTATTGTAAATAGTGCTGCAATAAACATATGTGTGCATGTGTCTTTATAGTAGAATGATTTATAATCCTTTGGGTATATACCCAGTAATGGGATTGCTGGGTCAAATGGTATTTCTGTTTCTACATCCTTGAGGAATCGCCACATTGTCTTCCACAATGGTTGAACTAATTTACACTCACACCAACAGTGTAAAAGCGTTCCTATTTCTCCACAGCCTTGCAATCTACCCATCTGACAAAAGTCTAATATCCAGAATCTACAAGGAACTTGAACAAATTTACAAGAAAAAAACCAAACAACCCCATCAAAAAGTGAGAAAAGAATATGAACAGACACTTCTCAAAAGAAGACATTTATGCTGCCAACAAACATATGAAAAAAAGCCCATCATCACTGGTCATTAGAGAAATGCAAATCAAAACCAAAATGGGAATATTCTTAACACGAAGAAATGATAAATGTTTAAGGTGATGCCTGCCCCAATTACCCTGATTTGATCATTATACATTGCATGCTTGCATCAAAATATCATATGTATCCCATTAATATGTATCACTATTATGCAGCCATAATAATTAAAATTAAAAATTAAAAAATGCTCATAATTTGGGAAAATCTTTCTCTAAACCAGGTTCCTTTCTCAATAATCATACTGTAATGAAACAAAAAGGCTATTCTATGCAAAGAGTTAGAAAATCCCTTAGAGTTAAGAATAATTTTATCACATTCCCACAAGATAAGTTCCAGCCCTTAAACTGAGAGCAAAACCAACTCCCCTGGTGCTGGAATGGTTTGTATTGTACCATAGCATATTATGTGGCTTATTTCTAAAATAGTTAGAATTTAAATGAATCATGAAAATGCAATTAAAACACACTATGGTTACAAAGATTTTTTTAAATCTAAAACTTGGATCTTATATTTAATTGATGATTTGTCATTCTGTAATTTTTATATTCCTTGGCAAATTATTATAGATTTTCAAAAATTTAAGTTATCCACAATTTGAAATTTAGGAAATACATTTTATTATAAAGATATATTTTCTTAGGTTGCCAGTGTTTTAAAAAACTGTCACATGTTTACCATAATTGTAGCTCAATTATACATCTCTAATGACCAATATTGAGCCCGCAGCGCCCATGACTTTCTCAATAGGCACTACCATTTAACTTTAGTTTGAAAGCCAAGAATGTTGTCTGCATGCTATTAGTTTCAAATTTTACAGGACAAAATGCAATATCGGCTGTCTCACTGAGATTAGTTTGCACATCTCATTAGCATTGTATCTCCACAGTATACACTCTTAGTAAGGTGTAAAACAATGTATTCTATTATTTTCATTAAGTTATTAGTATTATGTCAATTTTATTCAACTTTATTTGGCAAAGTTTGCTCTGACCTGGCAAAAGCAAATTTTGTCAGTATCTTCAAATACTTCATAAACTTCATGATTTCCAAATAGCTGTAATTTGAATTATTAGAGTCAGTTTATTTTCAGCAGGGAGATAATAGTATCACTAAATCCATTAATCAATACAAATCAAAATCTGTTTCACTTCATTGTTTTCAGAGCCTTTATTTGCACTTTCCATATTTGTTTCTCTGTCCTTTCTCTCTACCCATATACATATTAAGTGTGTATATAACTACATCTGTGCAGGTATGCCATACCTATTTATATACTAAAACACACACACACACAACTATGTGTAGGTGCACACAACTTACACATTATATACATGCACACGCTTACAATCGTGATCATCATTATCAGATGGGAATTGCAAATTGTTCAATAGGTATAGCTTTGTTATCTTAAAAGCAACACATCCTCTTGAACATTTTTGTTGTAACTGTTAGTCTCTAAGCTACGTACGATGCATTTCAGCTTCATGTGAATTCAGATAAGTTCCTTAACCTCTCATGACCTCAGTTTGATCATCTGTAAAAAGGCCATAATTAAAATTTATGCCTCACATTCTTGTGAAAATTAAGGTAATTATCTTGCATAAACTACTTAGTTCCTTACTTGCCCCTTGCTTGGCAAATAACATGTACTCAGTAAATACTATCAGTCATTTTCAAACTCTATGTTTCATAAATTTTATGACAGCAAATTCTTCATTTTCTCTCTGATTTATGTATCAATTCTTAATTATTTTTCCCCATGGATAGCAGCCTCAAAAATAACAGGCCCCCCTGCCACTCCATCTACCAAGGTAGTAGTTATCATATTTTTAGATTCCATGAACAGTAAGTTAAAAATGAGAACTGTGGCATATTTTCCATATCTATGACTTTTTCAATTAGCATATTTTCCACATGTGCACATAAATGTACATATTTAAACTCCTGCTTCATCCCTGATGTTGAAAATAAGGATCAAGGAATAAAGGAAATCAATTTAATTTCTGTCCATGTATGCAGCATATGTTGTAGGTACATATAAAATGTTTTATGTTTCCAGTTCTCTGGAGTGAAACTATCATTTTTATAAATATAATGGTGGGTTCAATGCAAAAGAGACAATGGGTAGAATAGAGTACGGTGTCCTTGAATTAACTGGAAAAAATAACAAATTAGTGATAGACATTCATATTGAAGATGGTCTGTCATACTCAAGATTTGTTGAGTTTCATCCAGAAGGACTGCATGGTTACCCAGATGATAGCAGTCTTGTAGGAAGAAAAAGCACACAGCCTGCTTATTTGACTTTCTTTGTTTTCTTTTTTACAAAATTAAATTCAAAGTTCTGATTGGCAAACCTCTGAAAAAATGAAAATAAAAAAAGAAATAAATAAGAGTAAAGAAAAGAGCACCTGAAATTTTAGTAAATGCATTACATTTTGTGTCACTGGAAAATAAGTCAATATAGCTTCTCAATAAAATAACTGAAAATTGTCTGTAAACACTCTGGAAATCCATTAAAAATTTTATTGTTAAACAAAGTCTACTTATACTGGTAAAATAATATTAAAAACACCCCCTAAAATATTAAATTCTGGTATGACCACATAAGGAACTCTGCATACCCATTCCCCAGTGAAACTGGCAAAAACTATCCATATTTCTTTATAGAGTCTCTTAAAATCTTTGCCCATTTTGTATATTGTTTTTATGTTATCATATTAAAAGAGGGCTTTATATATTTAGGATACAAGTCCTCTTAAATAGGTGTTGCAAATATTTTATCCAAGTCTCTAGCTTGCCTTTTCATTTTTAATAGTGATTTTCAAAGAGCAAATCTTTTTCATTTGAAAAAATTTCAATGCATCTTTTTTATTTCAATATAAGCTTATTTTTGCGAAAACTTTTTTTATACTTTACAACTGCAATAATTTTCACTGCATTTCCTTCTAGTCTATTAGTTTTTCTTTTACATTTGTTGATGTGGTCACAACTGTAGCCACTAAATATAAATAATAGTAATTGTTACTATTGACTATTTGTCTGCTAGATACTAGCACTGTGCGAAAGTACGTAAGGTGCTAAAATACTATAGAGAAACCAATAAAATACATTTAAATGCTCAGAGATTTCTTCACTAGAAGGTAACATCTAAGCTGAGTAATTAGGGAAGAATGAAATTTAACCAGGCAAAAATGAATAGGAGAAGTTTAAATATTCAGCATAGCAAATGCCAAATGCATAAGCCAAGAGGTAACAGAGGATGATAAGTGTTGGGAAGAGCAGGTTTAGCTTGATTGAAACTTTGCATGTGAGGGAATACAAGCTGACGGACAGATCTGAAATAATTAGGAAAGGTTAGATCATAAATGTCTTACACATCCTGTGCTATGGAGTAGAATTCACAATGAACACAATGGGAAACTACTGAAACGTTTTAATCAAGACAGGGATCTAACACATTTTAACTTTGGGGGGAAAAATGCAACACAAGCTGTCATGTTCCAAATGGACTTGAGACAGAATAATATAAAGAGTTATTTTAATATTCAATTATAGAAAACATGGGAGTCTATAGATAATTTGAGGAGATGGGGTATTGAGATAATTGGGAGAGATATTTGAGAACACCAAATTAACTGGATTTGGTCACTGACTCATTATTAGGCAAAGGGATGAATAAAGGTTGACCTGAGCAAATGTGTGAATACTTCTAACATTCACCAATATAAAAAATACATAATGAAACACAGATTTGAGAGGAAAAACATCATTGATTTATCATGTCTGAGCTAACCAATAAAATATCTTCATGGTGGTGTATTCAGCAGGTAGCTGATAGCATAGGTATGAATCATACAGTAATACACTTATGTGTACATATAAATTTAGGAAGTATCAAACGTATCAATGGTGTTTGATTATTTGGGAGAAGACTATCAGTATCCCTTTTCTTGAGTGCCAGAAAAATCTGCACTTACATGGATTACATTAATACGGTGATAAGTACATGTCTGTTCAGAGCTATTTTAACTGCATCAGGCCAATCTGCTACAACTTTTACATTACAAAGTTATGAGTTGTTTTATAGTTGCCATGGACTCTCAGGTTGAAAGTCATGCAACCTGAGCACGCCCAGATGTAGCAAGTGTACAGCCACAGGGGGACCCTAAGTGCTCAGTCTGAGGAGCGCGGACTGAATTTAGAAATGGACACCCCATGGGAGCATCCAGGATTCAGTCAGATCAAGCTCTGGTGTAATCTCATGGCAGGACCAGTCAGATCATGCCCCTCAGCACCACCTCATTATAAGATCCAATCAGATTACATTTCACTATCCTATGTTTATAAAAGCTGACCCAAACTCGAGCTTAGGGAGACAGATTTGAGCATATCCTCTTGTCTGCTTGCCAGTTGACTAGAAATAAAGCTTTTCCTTGGTTGAAAGCCCATACCATGGTATTCGCCTCTATGCACATCAGGCAAAGAGCGTGTTGATTGCTTGGTAATATTACGGCTCTTTCAACATCACAAAATGTAACAGATATTTGTTTGTGTTTGCTGCACAAATAAATTAGTGAGTGAATGAATACATAAATAAATGAGACATAAAGAGTCAAAATGCCCGTTTTATGATATAGCCTCAAAGTCTCACAGCATGACTTTAACTGCAATCTATAAGTTCCTAACAGCCCAAATTCAAGGGGAGAATTAGACTCCACATTTTTATTCGAAGAGCCACGTATATGTACATGGAAGGACAGCTGATATCAACCAACTATGATATAATATATTATACTAGTTTACTGTGGGTCCACAAAATATAGGTCTTAAATAAATAGAAAAAAGGAAAAGACACTTGTTGATATGCATTTCAGTAATCACTGAAAGTTGGTTCCTGGTCTCCTTGGCAGCTGATTCAGGAAGATAAGTATGCTCGGCCATTATTCAACAATGCACACTTTCAAAGTGATTACTTCAACTGAAGAGAAATACTACAATGCATTTTTAAAATTCACTGTATCTTTGATCATTGATTTTATGTTACATGATAAATATACAATGTGGAGAGGTCTGAGGTCAATTGCTTTAGAATTAAATTTATACGCTAAAAATAAGTCTACAAAAGAAGATACTTCATTCAGAATTGATGCCTAAGAAAAGGATCCAGTACAGAGAATGTATTATAATTAGAGGTTAATACATTTCTTTAAAATTAATAAACGAAAAATAAAAAAATTGCATGTTTGAAGAAATCACATATATAATAGCTGGGACAGATCAGACCATACCAATAAAATAGTGGATAACTCTCCTTTAAATATTTTGTATGCAAGTAACAAAAACGTGTATACTAAGCTTATAAGATTTTTAACAATTCAATTTAATGTATGGTCTAACTTTCACTACCAATCATGCCTAAAATTACTTACGGTAGTTTGCGGAAAGTCTTAATCTATGCTACTTGAAGGGCAGTTGATGGGCTATGCCAGCCTAGGAAAGGGTAGTTTTCAGTCTACAGAGATGTTTAGAAACTTTTATAGCAATTGACATTCTCATGGTAATAAAAGATGTAATCAGTTATTCATTTTAATCAAATTTTATAAAAGGGCTGGCCTGCCAACTTTTAAAATTAAAAAATAAAATATGTGTCTTCATTAAAGACTATTTTGAAAAGCATTACATCTTGTCTACATTTTATACATTAAATACACTCATACCTTTTTACTTTACATTAGTGGAACTTACTGTATTTATTGCTATGAAACAACTCCTACACTCAATAATTAACCTTTTTATTCCATAAGTTATTGGGCTTCAGGTGGTATTTGGCTACATGAGTAAGTTCTTTAGTGGTGATTTGTGAGATTTTTGTGCACCCATCACCCAAGTAGGATACACTGCACCATATTTGTAGTCTTTTATCTCTCACCTCCCTACTCTTACCCCAAGTCCCCACAGTCCATTGTATTATTCTGATGCCTTTGCGTCCTCATAGCTGAGCTCCGACATATCAATGAGAACATACTAAGTTTGGTTTTCATTCCTGAGTTACTTCACTTAGGATAATAGTCTCCAATCTCATCCAGGTCACTGAAAATGCCTTTAATTCATTCCTTTTTATGGCTGAGTAATATTCCATCATATCAATATACTGCAGTTTCTTTATCCGCTCATTGATTAATGGGCATTTTGGTTGGTTCCATGATTTTGTAATTGCAAATTGTGCTACTGTACACATGCGTGTTCAAATATCTTTTTGGTATAATGACTTTTTTTTTCCTCTGGCTAGATACCCAGAAGTGGAATTGCTGAATCAAATGGTAGTTTTACTTTTAGTTCTTCAAGGAAACTCCACGCTGTTTTCCATTGTGGTTGTACTAGTTTACATCCCCACCAGCAGTGTAGAAGCATTCCCTGATCACCATATCCACGCCAACATCTAGTGTTTTTTGAGTTTTCAATTATTGCCATTCTTGTAGAAGTAAGGTGGTATCACATTGTGATTTTGATTTGTATTTCCCTGATCATCAGTGATGTTGAGCATTTTTTCATGTTTGTTGGCCATTTGTATATCTTCTTTCGAGAATTGTCTTTTCAGGTCCTTAACCCACTTTTTGGTGGGATTGTTTGTTTTTTTCTTACTGATTTGCTTGAGTTTGTTATAGATTTTGGATATTAGTCCTTCGTCAGATGTATAGCTTGTGACGATTTTCTTCCACTCTGTGGGTTGTCCCTGTACTCTGCTGACTGTTCCTTTTGCCGTGCAAAAGCTCTTGAGTTTAATTAAGTCCCAACTATTTATCTTTGTTTTTGTTGCATTTCCTTTTGGCTTCTTGGTCATGTAATTCTTGCCTAAGCCAATGTTTAGAATGGTTTTTCCAATGTTATCTTCTAGAATTTTTATAGTTTCAGTTCTTAGATTTAAGTCTTTAACCCATCTTGAGTTGATTTTCATATAAGGTAAGAAATAAGGATCCCTTTATGATTTGTCAATGTTAATATAATGTAATTTTATTTCCATTCTTTATAATTGATGCATAATATTCCATTGAATAAATATACTATCATGTATATAATACAACTCTTCTATTGAAATAATTTAAATATTTTCTAATTTTTTTATTGTGGAAAAATACAGTAAAACCTTTCCACATATGTTTTCATACATATATGTGACTTGTGTTTAGGACAAATTTTAGAAGTGTATGTACTAGCTTAATATATGCACATAATTAAAAGTCAGTCAGATAATGACCAATTTCCTTCTAAAAATTGTTTATCTTTCAATTCTGACTATGATTAACTAGTTTGCAGCACAGCAAACTTCACATCAGGAAGAACTAGAAAACTAGATACGATTTTAAAAATCTATTTAAAGGCATTGGAGAGAAGTCAAGGTGGCCAGAGAATGTGGCAGTTTCTTCCTCCCTCTGGGAACACCCAGAGGATAGAATATTCATTGAAGTGATTTCCTGAATTCTACAATTGTGTTTTCTTTTGAAGCATTATCTTATTCATAAACAAAAGCAAGTATAATATAATGTACTTTACTCTTATTCTTTTCTATTGATTATTATTTTAAGTCAAAATAAGGGCCATGTCTACTCATAGCCCATTAGAGAAGAGAATGTTGTGTGACTCCAGGGTCTGACACTTATTAGTTCTTGAAAAATTGGTCAATTTCCTTCAACTCCAGGAGCCTCGCCTTTTTCACTTGTAAAATGAGGATAATAAAATGTAACTCACAAAATTGTTAGGAGGAAATGCAGTATGAAATGTAAAGTTATAGAAGTTCTTAACTCACGAATAAGGGTCACTCAGATAACATTAACTTACTTCCTTGTCAATTTTTGGATTTCCTTTGACTTTGTTCAAACTGATTTTAGGTCTTCTTCCTCTCTGCAGGACAGTGAGCTGGACAACATTGCTTCATTATTTCAGCTGCTTGTGAAGGAGGTAAGTTAAAAGCCTTCCAGGCTTGGTTGCTTTCTCTACAAGGAGCCTGCTTACTCCTTCTTAGTGGGAAGTCTGTTTCGTGGGTCAATAATGGATTCTGTTTTCCTGGAGTTTAGTCAATTGCCACAGGTGCGGGCAGTTTGGACCTTGATGTCAGTGCTTTTATGCTCTGATTCTAGCTGGTGAGCTTGCCTGTTTCTTACTTTGTAATCTTAGATTGTGGAGTTAAGAGATACACATATATCTAGGAGGCTCATGAAAACACTCATGCTTATTTGTGACCAGTTGGTAGTACACGACAGACATTTCTCCAGCCCCCACAAGTATCAAGACACTAGGGAGCTGCATGGGTCCTTACAAAATCTTCTTACCCAGCTCGACCCAGAAAAGCATGTTGCTTACTTGTCTTGCCGCTCTACGTCTTCTGCTAAACCCTCTAAGTAGCCAGTGGTTTGCTAGTTTCATGCAGCAGCGTTCATGTGTTCTCAAGGAATCTGAGAGTCCACGATCAATGCCACTAGCCCAACCCCAGGTAAGATATTGTCTATTGACTTTCCAGTCCCATTTCAAAAAACACATGTATGGTTGTCCTTTGTGCAGAACCTTGTTGGGGAGTACTGGAATTATTCACTAATTGGAAGAGTCAATGAAATTGTCCCAAGGAATGAAATTAATTAGGGTCATTTTTAGTTACTGCATTTCTGAAGTATATCATCTTCTTTAATATGAAGGAGGTGAAATGTGATATGATGTCACATTCTTTAATATATCCCCATGACATAATTTCTCCAAGCCTTAATTCTGCACTGTCAGCTGGCTCTTGCAATGTGTGTGGCTTTTCCAGCATTCACCTCCTGCAGCACCCATGGCTTCCTCAGTGCCCAGTGTCTGCAACATGGGCAAAGTTCTAGTGCCAGGCTCTCGTAGTGTGTGCAGTTTCTCCAGTGCTCAGCATCTGCAGTGCTCAGCAGCCACAAGCTCCTAGTGGCCAGAAGCTGTTATCAGAAATCCAGATGACCAACCATACTGGTTTGCTCAAGACTGCGGGTGTTTGTGGCATATGGGACTTTATACTTTAAAAATAGGCATTTTTGGACAAGCCAGGACAAGTTAGTCACCCTATGGAAAACACTCCTGCCCTTGGTAGTTTAGTAGCTTGTGGTGAGACAGGGATACCCCGTCCCCCACACCATGAAACCTTCCCTAGAACCCTAGAAAACATGTTTAATTTCTGCTAGCACAGTGACTTTTCTACTATATAGTGGGCCTTGTTTATGACCTCCAGACTTTGGGGTTGGGGGCGCAGCCTCCTCCTTGGGCACACTATCTCAGCCCAAGATATAGTGATGGCTTCTTATGTCTGCTAGCCCCACACTGCTTAGGGTTCTCCTTACTTCTTCTAGCCAATACCTCATTACTCCAGTTTCCTATTACGGTTAAAAACACTTTGTATGAAATCTTCTCTGTTCAAACTTCTGTTTCGTTTCTGTTCACTGTTTGTGCCCTGACTGATACAGATAGTATATTCATTTTTCCCTTGCTGTATTGAAGAATACTTGGCAAATAAAAATTGTATATATTTAATGTATACAATGTTTTGCTATTTTATATATAAATATATTATTAAATGATTATAACAATCAAGCTAATTAACATATTCATTCACCTCATATAGTTAGGAATTTGGGTGCATCAAAATCACTTTTTAACTAGCACTGAGAACATTTCCTGGCACATAAGAGGTGCCAAATACACATTTCTAACTAAATATATTAACCTGTATAAGATGTTTGTATCAAGTTTACCCATACATCTCACATAATTGGACAATAAGAATACATTTAAAAAATTGCATGAAAATACAGAACTTTTTGTAATCAGATGATATTACACTAAACAGAAGAATATAAAAAAACAAGAATCGTGCATTATTTTTTTCCATCTTGTTACATTTCAGGTGATAAAATTTTTGTCAGAATCTGAGACAATAAAATATCCTGCTTAAATATTGCGGGGTGGGGGGGAATAAAGACTTTTAAAAATGTACAGTTGTTGACCTAATACGTTGGGCGATAAAATGAAGTATAAGTTTCCTAACTGTTAGACCTTATAGCCTTCTTGATGTAGATCAGGTTCACAAGAGCTTAAATAGGACTTGGCATTTATCAAACCTTAAGACTTAAATTTAGGACTTGGAGCATCATCAGAGTGAGGACTAATAACAATATCACCTCATGGTCGTCAGAATAGGAAACATCGCTCTAACAGTTTAAGTCTTAGAATATTGTCACAGAAATAGGTTATACTGCTCAAGGAAATTTAATGTTCCCATTGAAGTATTAAGTTGGTGCAAAAGTTATTGTGGTTCTTGCCATTAAAAGTAATGTCAAAAATCACAATTATGTTTGCACCAACCTAATATTTGCTACATGGAGAATACAGTAACTCCTTCAGCACTCATATAGACCTTGCATTCCTTAACAGGGTAATACATTGATTTGTCCTCAGGATTTATGATAGAGGATACCCTTTTTTAAGATATTGTAAAAGTGTGCTGTTTATTTGAGAACCTCTTTTGGTTTACAACCATATTCATGTTCTCTCTTCTTGTATTTTAGTCTGTGCTTCTTTTCTCATCATCTATTTCCTGTCTCAGATGTTGCCATCTTTTGTTGCCTGATGGCTTGAAACCATTGTTTCCTTAGTTTTGTCCAGTTTTTTTTTTCTTTTTTGTATCAAGTAGGAAGGTAAATCTGATCTCTGTTCTTCAACCTTATCCAGAAGCTACTCAAAACTTTGTTTATTATTATATTATTGGGGGAACTGAACTAGGGGTGTGATTTTTAATTTATTAAAATGTGTTCATTTTAAGCCACACTTTCACAGATATGTAGCAATGCAGTACAACACACATGGCTAGTGACCCAGGATGCAAATCAGTTACAAGGTTTGGTTAGTGAAAGATTTTTCCAAGTTAGTTTAAAAAGACTGTACTGGTGCTAAATATGTGCGTAGTTAAATATGCACTGAAGTTTCGAATGCCCAGCTCAAGAGGGCCTTGCAGTCCCTATTAGATGAGTAAACAACTCAGCTCAGCCTTGAGACTTGTGAAGCTCAGCATCATGTTTTCAGAAGTTTCTTGTTTGGTATGAATCAGACTTTCTTGTCCTATCTTAGAAATCAAAGAAAGTCGGGTGTTGCGGGGAGGAACCTGCTTGTCTTCCTGTGTTCTTTATTTGTCAGGAATTGTATGGACAGTGTAATGTTGATAGAAAATTAGTTATAGCGACAGTATTGAGATAAGACTAAACAGCTAAAAAAAAAAACAGCAAGCTCTCTAGTGGCTTGAAAGATTTAAAGAAGTTTTGCTTTATTATTTTAATATTGAGGACTCACTGAAATCATCTGAAGACAGTAATTAAAACATCTGACTTGTATTTTGAAAGATAAATTTGGCAACAATCTTTTTAAGCATAGCACTTTTCCAAGAGAAAATGAAACATGTTGAAGTTACTTTTATTCTGTGTATTAGTCCGTTTTCACACTGCTAATAAAGACATACCAGAGACTGGGCAATTTACAAAAGAAAGAAGTTTATTGGACTTACTGTTCCACGTTGCTGGGGAAGCTTCACAATCACGGCAGAAGGCAATGAGCAGCAAGTCACGTCTTACATGGGTGGCAGCAGGCAAAGAGAGCTTGTGCAGGAAAATTCCCCCTTGTAAAAACCATCAGATTTCTTGAGACTTACTCACTATCATGAGCACAGGAAAGACCTGCCCCCATGATTCAGTTACCTCCCATCAGGTCCCTTTCACAGCACATAGGAACTCAAGGTGAGATTTAGGTGGGGACACAGCCAAACCGTATCATTCTGGAAAAAAAAAACAAAAAACAAAAATAAAAACATCATAAGTCTTAGCAAACCAATCTTTGTAAAGAAAGACATTTGAGGTTAGGTGCAGTGGCTCACGTCTGCAATCCCAGTGTTTTGGGAGGCCAAGGTGGGATGGGAAGATCATTTGAGGCCAGGAGTTCAAGACCAGCCTGGCAGTAAAGTGAGACCTTCATCTATTAAAAAAAAAAAAGCATTTGATAAATACTTCCGCTCATGTGTTTAGAAATGTTTTTCACTGTATAGGTATGTTTTTTTAGAAATGTCACAAATGGCACGCACTGCAAGACAGTATTCTCCTTCTGGCCTGAATTCTTCCCAAGTTCACAGCTATAGTATGGCATTTGATTTGCAGCGTTTTCAAATGTGCTTTCCTAAGTGTGGCTAATTTTCAAGTGGCAAACAAACATGAGTGAAGCAACAGCAATAATAATAATAACAACAACAATAGATTTTGAGAATTCAAAGTTGTATTTTTTAAATTTCGCTATGAAAAAATGAATTGGTAGAAGGTTATTAGGGAGTGAGTACTAAGAACTATATTATCGAGGCCTAAGTTAATTCCATTTAAAATGTTATACTTTCTAAGAGACAGGATGTTTCTGAGAAATAATTTGTATGTATATAAATGGTGTTGAACTCATAAATCATTTGACTTTAATTTCAGTTCATGAAATGTGATAGAATCCTTAGTCTACCCGGTATATGGCTGTGCTTATCGTATCCATATGTTTGGGGAACATTCTGTATTCATCATATATTACCACACAGGATTCTTCCAGGGAAGATTGATTCATGCATAAGAAATAATGTTATAGCTATTTCCACAGGGGAAGGGAAAATTTGGCAAACTAAACCAAGATACTGCATTCAGACTTATATTCTTTCTAATCAACTTTGAAACAGGAAATTTTATTCTTTTACTTTTTCACCTTTACTTTCTGGATCTCCTTTAGGAAAGATGAAAGTGGACATACAGGACTTAGCATCTGATAATTTTGGAATTAGATTTCTACTCTGTAACCTTGACAAGTCACTTAATCTAATTTTATATAATCATTTTTGTACAAATTAAGAATCATAATTATCAGCAATAGCTGTTTTGTGAAGTAAAGCAGATAATAATATAACAATTGCCTAACATGTCTTATAATAGATTTTAAAATATGTGGTTGGATTATATTCCTCTTGAATCTTAGATATAATTAGGTCTAAAATATTAGTTTTACAAACTGTTAATTTTTTAAATTTAGATTTCTGAGGTATTTTGCTCCTCAGTAACAATAGGACAGAATAATGGGTGTGAAAATGATTTGAGGAAACCTATACATAACATATATCGTACATACCACATTATACTAGGTGTGTTTTAAGCTCCACACTTATAATTACTAAAATAAAATGATAAGAAAAACTATAACAATATAGTAATAATTGTTTTACAAGAATTTAGGGAGAGAATTCAGGCATGAATGCACACATTTTTATACCAGTTTTCCTAGGAGGAAATATGGGTTGGTTCTTTGGCAAATAATAGTAATAATGCTTTACATTCTTAGAGCTCCCACTGTCTTAAGAGCTTCCTGCACTGTGCTGAAGAAAGATCAAGAGATGTCATCTGAGGTGAAGTTTTTGAAGGAAGAATGGTTTTTCAATTATGAAAGGGGAGAGCTACAAAAGGTCACAGAACACAACAAGCAAGGATAGATGTAAAGCTGTGAGAGATAATGACATTTTAGGAAAACTGTAATCAGTTTTACAGCATTGTTTTCATTCAAAAAATACTCTTCAAATTATTCTATAATCTAGGCATTCCAGTAGGCAACATCATAGGACGTCATAGTTAATGCGTGGTTAAGAACTAAAGCATAAAAGTTGTTACCCACCCCCTAACAAACTGAAGTGTCTGTAACTGTATCTATATTGATCCAGATATTTTAAAATTAATTTCACTTCATCTTTCTTTCTCTAGTAATTGCAACTATTTGTAAAAATTGCTACTTTGATAAAGGATGTGGTCACAGGTATTTTTCTTATTAAAATGAGACCTTTTTTTGTCAGTTCTCACAATGGAAGTAGTATGCACGTATAATCCACAAGTTTTCGTGTAATATTTTTATTATTGTTCAGTTCAAAACATTTTTCAATTTACATTTTGATTTCTTATTTTACCAATCAGAAGTTCATTCCCTTATTTCCCAGTGGCTAGACATTTTATAGTTATCTTTGTATTATTGATTTCTAGTTTATTTTGGACTGATCAGAAAATACATTTTCCTGGATAAAAATATATGGTATTTATCGTTTAAAATAGGTTAAGTCTTTATAGCCTGGCATATAGTTAATTTTGGTAAATTTTAATGAATGTCTTTAAATAATAAGCATTCTATAGTTATTGGGTACAGTGTTCTCTATGTGGCAATTAGGATAAGTATCTTAATCTTTTATTGTTCAGATAATATATAACTTTTTTAATTCATATCTTAAATCTTTTACTGTTCAGATAATATATAACTTTTTTTTAATTCAATATGCCCAGAAGTTCTTTTGCATGCCATCTTTCCTTTATTTCCTAAAGGACTTGAAAGAAATTTTGTAACCATTTACCTATATTAAAATTCTTTTTTCTAATACTTAGCATTACTTCAGTTGTCAGACTAGCCCTGACTGGTATGACAATAAGGTAATAACAGTGGAACATTTCTATATGTGTTCAAGAGTAGATGTAAACTGAAGGAAGTTTGTCAGGACAGAAAGAGATTTATGCTGAATACCCCTTTCATAATTTTATTATCTTTTTAAATATAAATAAATTACAATTTTGAATACAGTAAGCCTAAATTATAATATCTATATATTTAATAAAACCACCTTAGTTAAAATGAAAAACTAGGTTGTAAGAAAAAGATAGATTTCTGGCAATGTGAGTTATTATTAGCATTTATCATAATTTCTAATAAGATGGCAAACTGCTTTCAATAAATAAAGTAAGAGATAAATTTCTATAGAAATGTATATGTCCAACAACATTACACACAATGTTACAGGCTGTTGAAATTGCATGAATGTAATCATTCTGACAAATTTTTAGTTGAATATTACACTATCAAATGTAGTACTGTGATATTTTTATGTATTTGTTCACAAACTATTTACTTTGTGATTTGCCTGAGCATATACATTATAGTAAAGTAAAAATTCAATATTTGCCTTTCAGATTATATATTATTTAAGGGTAAAATTATATGATGTCTGTATGTTATGCATTTTAGCGAATTAAAAATAGGTAAAGCAAATATTTTTTAAAATATTAATTGGCCAATCTAAGTGACAAGCATATGAGTATGCAAAACACTACTCTTTTATTTCTACATGATAAACATTTTTCAAAATACAAAGAAAGAAAAAAGTAATTAATTTTATTTTAAAGTACCCATCACAATTATCACAATTTTTAAATTGCAATTCCTCATTAGATATTTTAAAACGTGTAAAATCATTCATGTTTACTCTTCAAGTGATGTAGAAAGTTGCAATAATTTATCTTGAGATTTTGAAAACAAAGACAATAAAACCCGAGAGTCTTGTTGGGGTTTTATAAAACCAGGTGTTTTAATTGATTATTTTATTACTAGTCAAAGACCTGACTACATATATATAGAACACTGTAACTAGTCATATGAGCTACCATTTATTAGTAATTTTTCTGTGCCAAACACTATTCTTAGGTATACTACAAGTATCAAATTGTTTAGTATTCACAGCTAGGTCTTGAGGAAAAACGGTATCATTACCTCCGTCTTACAGATGACACAACTGAGGATCAGAGAGTTTAGGCTGTTTCTTGGAGATTGTGTGCACAATAACGGCAGAGTACCCTTACCTGCCACACTGCTACCAAAACAGTAAACAAAATATTATTCTAATATGCACATCCTTGCTAACAATATGGAACAATGTGAGAAAACTCTGTCTAAATATAATAATTATTGGTCCCATTTTAATTGTACCTTGATATAATTATGTATTCAATGACTCAAATATACATTTCAGACATATTTAAATAAATTGTTTTACTTTTTGCTACAAATACAGCAGTAATATTGTAAATGAAGATTTTTCCAAATGATGCTTTAGTTAAAACCCTGTTGCCAATGCATCTTTCAAAAATGGAGCATAGAAACAATACTGACCATCACAGAAATATTCCATTAACCATATAGGATTAAGGAATCTATAAAGAACTTCTTTTTAAATGACAAATAACACTAGAATTTTACTTTAGTTATAGCTGTACTCGTAAATGCTATCTCTAATAAAATTTGTTTTAGTTAACCATTTAATAAAATTTATGTCATTTATTTTGGATTTATTTTCAGTTCTTCACAATTGATATTTTAATACCTTAAACATCCTATTAAAGAAATTTATAAATAACAGATTACAAATTTATGGTCTTAATGCAGAATCTGTCGAGCAGATACGTAGTATTGGCCTATATAGGTTTTTTATTTTTTTTTACTTCAACTTTTATTTTAAATTCCAGAGTACATGTGCAGGAAGCGCAGGTTTGTTACACAGGTGAAGGTGTACCCTGGTGGTTTGCTGCACAGATCAACCCATCACCTGGGTATTAAGCCCAGCATCCATCAGCTATTCTTCCTCATTCTCTCCCTCCCCCCACCCCTGCCCCAGCAGGCCCCACTGTGTGTTTTTCCCTGCCATGTGTCCAAGTGTTCTCATGGTTCAACTCCCACTTATAAGTAAGAACATATGGTGTTTGGTTTTCTGTTCTTGCATTAGTTTGCTGAGGATAATGGCTTCCAGCTCCATCCATATCCCTGCCAAAAACATGATCTCATTCCTTTTCATGGCTGCATAGTATTCCATGGTGCATATGTAACATATTTTCTTTATCTATTCTATCATTGATGTGCATTTGGGTTGATTCCGTGTCTTAGCTATTGTAAATAGTGCTGCAATGAACATATATGTGCATGTATCTTTGTAATAGAATGATTTATATTCGTTTGGGTATATACCCAATAATGGGATTACTGGTTCAAATGGTATTTCTTTTTCTAGGTCTTTGAGGAATCGCCACACTGTCTTCCACAATGGTTGAACTAATTTATGCTCCCATCAACAGTGTAAAAGCGTTCCTTTTTCTCCACAACCTTGCCAGCATCTGTTGTTTCTAGAATTTTTAGTAATCACCATTCTGACCGGCATGAGATGGTATCTCATTAGTGGTTTTGATTTGCATTTCCCTAATGATTAGTGATGTTTAGCTTTTGAGAAGTATCTGTTCATGTCCTTTGCTGACTTTTTAATGGGGTTGTGTGTTTTTTTCCTGTAAATTTGTTTAAGTATACTCTGAATATTAGATCTTTGTCAGATGAATAGATTGCTAAAATTTTCCCTCATTCTGTAGGTTGTCCGTTCACTCTGAGGATAGCTTATTTTGCTGTGCAGAAGCTCTTTTGTTTAATTAGATCCCATTTGTCAATTTTTTCTTTTGTCACAATTACTTTTGATGTTTTTGTTATGAAATCTTTGCCCATGTCTATGTCCTGAATAATATTGCCTAGATTTTCTTATAGGGTTTTTATAGTTTTGGGTTTTACATTTAAGTCTTTAATCTATCTTGAGTTAATTTCTGTATAAGGTGTAAGGAAGAGTTCTAGTTTCATTGTTCTGCATATGACTAGCCAGTTATCCCAACACTGTTTATTAAATAGGGAATCCTTTTCCCACTGCTTGTTTTTGTCAGTTTTGTTGAAAATCAGATTGTTGTAGGTGTGCAGTCTTATTTCTGAGTTCTTATTCTGTTCCATTGGTCTATGTGTCTGTTTTTGTACCAGTACCATGCTGTTTTGGTTACTGTATCCTTGTAGCATAGTTTGAAGTCAGGTAGCATGATACCTCCAGCTTTGTACTTTTGCTTAGCATTTTCTTGGCTATTCTGGCTCTTTTTGGGTTCCATATGAATTTTAAAATAATTTCTTCTAGTTCTGCAAAAATGTCAATGGTAGTTTAATGGAAAAAGCAATGAATCTATAAATTACTTTGGGTAGTATGGCCATTTCCACAATATTGATGCTTCCTATCCATGAGCATGGAATATTTTTCCATTTTTTGTGTCCTCTCTGACTTCCTTGAGCAGTAGCTTGTAATTCTCTTTGAAGAGTTTCTTCACTTCCCTTGTTGGCCATATTTTTAAGTATTTTATTCTTTTTGTAGCAATGGGAGCTCATTCATGATTTGGCTCTCTGCCTGCCTGTTGTTGGTGTATAGAAATGCTGGAGATTTTTGCACATTGATTTTGTATCCTGAGACTGCTGAAGTTGCTTATTAGCTTAAGAAGCTTTTGGGCTGAGACAATGGGGTTTTCTAGATACAGGATCATGTCACCTGCTAACAAAGATATTTTGTCTTCCTTTCTCTGTATTTGAATATCCTTTATTTATTTATCTTGTCTGATTGCCCTGGCCAGAAGTTGCAATATTGTGTTGAGCAGGAGTGCTGAGAGAGGGCATCCTTGTCTTGTGTCAGTTTTCAAAGGGACTCCTTCCAGCTTTTGCCCATTCAGTATGATATTGGCTGTGGGTTTGTCATACATGGCTCTTACTATTTTGAGGTATGTTCCTCCAGTACCTAGTTTACTGAGAGTTTTTAACATGAGGCAATGTTGAATTTTATCCAAGGCATTTTCTACATCTATTGAGATAATTATGTGGTTTTTATCTTTAGTTCTGTTTATGTGATGACTTGCGTTTATTGATTTGCATATGTTGAACCAACCTTGCATCCTGGGGATGAAGCCAACTCAATCATGACGGATAAGCTTTTTGATGTGCTGCTGGATTCGGTTTGCCGGTATTTTATTGAGGATTTCTGCACTGAAGTTCATTGGGGATATTGGCCTGAAGTTTTCTTTTTGTTGTATGTCTGCCAGGTTTTGGTATCAGGGCGATGCTGGCCTAATACAGTGAGTTAGCAAAGAGATCTTCCTTTTCCATTTTTTGGAGCAGTTTCAGTAGAAATGGTAACAGCTCTTCTTCATACCTCTGGTAGAATTGAGCTGTACATCTATCTAGTCCTGGGCTTTTTTTCAGTTGGTAGGCTATTCATTATTACCTCAGTTTCCTAACTCATTATTGGTCCATTTGGAGATTCAATTTCTTCCTGGTTAAGTCTTGGGAAGGTGTATGTGTCCAGGAATTTACAAACAACCATCAGAGAATACTATAAACACCTTATGCGTATAAACTAGAAAATCTAGAAGAAATGGCCTGCATAGTTTTTATACTTGCTTGAGTTTTGTTGGAGTTTTAAAATAGAAAGATATTCCATCAAAATAAAAATGTCTTCATCTCTATGAGAAAAATAAAATGTAAGGACTGATAATGATGCAACAGAGCTTTAGACAGAAGCCGATTGGTGTCGTCTGCACAGAAAATATAAAATTTCCAGTTGTCACTAATTTCCAATATCACTTTTCCAAAACCAGGCTCAATATTTTTCCTCATTTTACTATTGGGTTTTCTGTGTTTTATGTATATGGATTATTTATATATTTTTGTATGTACATAACTTTATATAAATTTGTATGAAATATATATGTAATATACTTTTTGCAAATATTATCTATACAGGACTGCCTTTTCATTATTCTTATTTTTATAAACTAAAGATTATCATTTTAATGTATTCTAATTTATCAATGAGATATATTCCTATTTAGAGATGTCAAGAAATATTTGCTTTAAGAAAATGTAATTAAAATATAACACAAATAGAGACTTACGCACACATCGCAAATGAAGTTCAATGGCTCTTCACCAGGTGAGCAATGTGGAATGGCCAGTACCAAGGTCAAGGACTAGGACATTACCTGTACCCATGAGCCCCTTGTGCCTTTTTGTCATTACCTCTTGTTCCCCAAACTAGCACTATCCTGACCTGTAACACCAGAAATTAGTTTTATTATGTTTTTGAACTATATATATAGATATATGTACTCACACAAATGTATATATAACTATATATACATATATATGTAATAAATATTTTGCAAATATTTTCCTTACTGGATTTCCTGTTCATTCTCATTTTTGTGAAAAAATATCGTTTTAATATATTCCAATTTACCCATATTTTCCTTTATTGTTAGTGCTTTCTATGTTCTATATAAAAATTTTACTTACACCAAGTTATAAAGATATTCTTCATGGTATTTTCAAAAGTTAATTATCTTGTTTTTTAAAATTGAATAAAAAATCTTTTGGATTTGATTCTGTGTAATATGTCAGGTATAAATCCAAGTAATTTTTTATTTTTTGCTAGTGGGTGTTATCTAATTGTTTCCATACATTATACTTTAATATGAAATATTTTATTCCACTTATTTCTCACCATGATCCTATATAAGAATGTTCTAGTTTCTATTATGTTGGTGCAAAATTTATTGCCGTTTTGGCAAAAACGGCAATAAATTTTGCACCAACCTATTTATTGGATATACAAGGACTCAATGGATAAGTGCAGCTTAATGTTATACCCATCTAAAGTTAAATGACGAGTAAGTGAATTTGTTAAAATTTCATTGGTGTGTGCATTTCTTCATAGTTATAAATATTCAGAAAGAAATCATGTAGTAATCATGAAGAAAATAGAACACGAAGAAAAATTCTCCCATGATAATTCTAAATAGCCAACTGACTCTCACATGTGTTTGAGACCAGAATGTATAAAATCTGCTTGGAATTAATTACACTTAAGAATAATCTTCTAGCAGAATCTAGCTAAACTCATGTTGAAGGATTCTGGCAAGTAAATCTCCAAGAATTATGAACTATAAATGGATGAACAGTACAATAAAAACCTCCATAAAATGACAGGTAGGCCCACCCATATAGCAGATATGGGAATTACTAAATAAAATATTAAAATTTATTAGGTTGCTATTATTTAATGAAATAAAATAGAGTATTAAAATGTAAAACCAAGGAATGAGAGTCCACCAAGAAAGATCAGAGAGACTGGTAAATAAATATTAAGGTAGCAAGTAACACTCTAAGAAAAAATATATATATATATACTTGTGTATGTATGAGTATGTGTGTGTGTGTATATATGTATTTAATCATTGACATAAATATAATAAAATTACTCAGAATAAAAAATAGAGGGAAAAGAGATTAATAATAAGGAAAGGCAGCACAATTAATAGAATGAGTTGTCATTAAATATCTAAATAAAATAATAAATGAACAGTGCAGAAAAATTGGATTGAAAAATATTTAAAGATATATTGACACAATATTTTCTAGCATTAATAGATAACATATATCTTCAGATTCTAAAATTTCAAGGACCCACAAATTACATAATTCGTAAACAAAGATCCCTGAATGCTTAATAATAAAAAATGCGAAGTACCAAAGCAAATAGATTTTTAAAATACAGATAAAGAACAATAAGCTAGCTACCAAAAAAACAATAATAAGACTGACAGAATAGGTCTCATAATTAACAATATAAAACAGCTTACACTGGTATAATATGTTCAAAGGGATGATCAAAAATGTATCATCCTAAAATTCCATACTGCATGATGGTAAAAACAAATCAATGTCCAAAAAATATAAAACTTAAGAGAGGCCGGGTGCTATGGCTCACACCTGTAATCCCAGACCTTTAGGAAGCTGAGACAGGAGAATCGCTTGAAGCCAAGAGTTTGAGACCAGTCTGGACAAAAGAGACCCTGTCTCTACAAAAAATAAAATACGTATGTAAAACATATTAGATGAGGAATGACAGGGTGCACCTTTAGTCCTAGCTACTCAGGAAGCTCAGGTGGGAAGATTGCTTGAGCCAGGAGTTTGAGGCTGCAGTGAGCTATGGTTGTGCCACTGCACTCCAGCCTGGGCATCAGATTGAGACCTTGTCTCTTAATTAAAACAAAAACAAAAACAAGGTTAAGAGAATATTTTATCAATAAACACTCATAAAATAACTCCTAAAGGATTTAATTCAAGAAAGAGTTGAAAAGATTCCAAAAATAAATAGTACTACTATTAATAAATAATATCAGTTACAAATGGGTAATTGAAATTAAAGATGCTTAAATTCCTTAAATTGAAATGCAGAGGATTTATAATATTGATTAGTTTAGGTATTATTATTTATTATGTAAGTATTATGTGAACACATGCAAATGTTAGAATATTTGTGCTAAGCACTGAAATACCAGATATGAGTGTACAATTTTCTATCTAGTACAAAGAAAAATGTAATAAATACACTAAAAAGTAAAAATTAAAATAATAAAAAATACAAAACGCAAGAACTAGCCAAATATTAAACACATCAAAATTATTCTTGAGTTAAACATGCCTATTTCAGAGGAAGTGTTGTAATATTGACTTCATTTAATCTAGTTGCTGAGTTTATAAAATTTTGGAAAATATTAAAAATAGTCCTAGTAGTTCGGAGAATTATTTGTCTTTAAAATTTCACACTCAAGTTAAAATTTTCCCTTTACCTTAGTAATTAGGCATGCACACAATAATTACTCCAAGTCTGCTCAGGGAAATCTATCTATCTCTTTTTGTATATTCTATGTATTTATTACATAGCAGGAAATAGATATTCTCTCAGATTTCCCTTTACCTAAAATCTTGAATGAAATATTTATTTCATAAGATTACTCAGTTCTACTTTTTAACCCAGTTATTTTTTATTTTATATCTCTCCTTTTATTTTGGGGAAGAGACATCTTGATATTGGTTGCTTTCAATCTGTATTAACACAAGGTCAAATAAAATGCACAAGATGGCATTTAGTGCCTTGAATTTATAGTAAAATCCAACAAGAATCCATCACTTAAAGCCTAAGAGAGTGACAAAATTTATTATCACTCTCTCTCAAACTCCAGCCTTATTTATTTTGTGAGCAGTCTAAAGAAAATAGCACAGTTAATGGGCAATTCGGTGAAGAATCACTTTTCAATTATTCAGGAAACAATTTGTTAGTGTCAGAATCTGGAAGTAGAGCAAGTGCGGTCTGTTCTAAACAATCACTTTCAAAAATTAGATGATGAAAAATTATCGTGGTTGCTATTTTAAAATCTTAGCTTACCATATGCCCATTGAGGCTGCACTAGTTTCAGAAGCCAGGGGTGCTGGTTCACGTAACAGAATATAGTCACAAAGAAACACGATGTACCAGATACAACAATCATTCCACTAATAGGTGCTTCACATGCATTCTATCATTTAATCTTCATTTTGAAGATGAAATATTCACAATTGCACCCATTTTTATATACACAGGGAGTAGGAGTCCAAATCAACTTTCATAGTCGAAAAAAACTCAAGTGATGGAGCTAGAATTCAGAAAATCTTTACCTGACTCACAGATTATACCAATGATAGTAAATCATCCTGAGTCTCTGTCTTCAAGGAAGTTGCAATTTAACAGAAGAGATAAAATGAAGATAAGAAGCTTTGCCTAACACAGCTATTGTATTATATACAAATTCAGAAACCATTAAAATATTTTGAATTAACCAGTGAGTTTTTAAAATTTCTTTATTAGGTACAGGAGTACATGTGCCGGTTTATTATATAGGTAATCTCATATCATGGGGAATTGTACAGATTGTCACCTGGGTACTAAACTTAGTACCCAGCAGTTATTTTTTCCGATTGTCTCCCACCTCCCACCTTCCACCCTCCAGTAGGCCTCAGTGTCTGTTGTTCCCCTTTCTGTGTCCATATGTTCTCATCATTTAGCTCTCATTTATAAATAAGAACATGCAGTATTTAGTTTTCCGTTCATGTGTTAGTTTGCTAAGGATAATGGCCACCATCTCCATTCATTTTCCTGAAAAAGATGTGATCTCATTCTTTTTTATGGCTGCATAGTATACCATGGTGTTTGTGTACCACATTTTCTTTATCCATTCTACCATTAATATGCATTTAGATTGATTCCATGTCTTTGCCATAGTGACTAGTGCTGCAATGAACACACATGTGCATATGTCTTTATGGTAGCACAATTTATATTCCTTTGGGTACATACCCAGTAATGGATTGTTGAGTGGCACGGTATTTTTGTCTTTAGCTGTATGAAGAATCGTCACACTGCTTTCCACAATGGTTGAACTAATTTACACTTACACCAGAAGTGCTCCCTTTTCTCTAACCAGTGAATTTTTGTACAGATGGATTTGGGAATCTGATGTATTTGTTTTCTATTGTTGCCGTAACAAATCTCCACAAATTCAGTTGTTTAAAACAACACAAGTTTATTATATGACAATTCTGCAAGTTGAAATTCAAATATGCACAAGATGGCATTTAGTGCCTTGAATTTATAGTAAAATCCAACAAGAATCCATCACCTAAATCATTGAGCCTTAACTTCCTCATCTGTGAAATGAGAATAACACAGTTGCTCAACTACATTGCCATGTGAGTTAAATAAAATCATGTATGTGAAATCATCTGGCACAAAACACTACCAGGGGCTTACCAGGTTAAAATCAAGGTGTTAGCAGAACTTGTTACTAATGGGAGGCTCTGGGGGAATAACCTGCTTCTAAGATCATTCAGATTGTTGGCATTTGTAGGACAGAGTTTTCTCACTGGCTGTCAACCAGAAATCCCTCTTTGCTTCTAAAAACTGCATGCATTTCTTCTCATATTGTGCATTAGCTCCAATAGGCTTCTCTCTGATCTTTATACAGTGACCCTAAATCTCAAAGCAGTAACAGTTTGTCCAACCCACTACATGCTTGAAATCCCTCTGACTTCCTTTCCTCTATCATCTCTCTTGCCATTCTCTTTTGCAGCGTCTTTCTCCAGGCAGCCTGAGAAAATATACTTTAAGTGGCTCATGTAATTAGATCAGGTGTGCCTAGATAAGCTAGGGTTATCTTATTTTAAGGTCTGTCACCTTAGTTACATCTGCAAAGTCCCTCTTGCCATGTAACATAACACATTCACATGTTCCAAGATTGGGACTGAGGGACTGAGAATTTGAGGAATAATCAGCCACATGTGCTTAAGACAGCAAATATATATATATATATATATATATATATATATATATATATATATATATATATATATATGGCAGTGAGCATTGGACGATGTAGGTGATCAAAGACAACTTCTCAGAAAGAATGCCCACTGGATGACATGACTTTGAAATCCAGCCAGTGTACTCATCAACCTCTTTTGTTTACTAATCTTCCTGTTTTTGAAGATGTTTTTCATGACGTAGTGGGCTGGCTGACGATACCTTGGAATTCATCTGGTTTGGGCCCCTTTGTTTTTGAAGGAGAAAACTTTTCACAGAAGAGTAATGAGTTATTCAAGTTTAAACAAACACTGAATAACTGGCAGATGACTTAATTAAAAAGATTAAAAAATAATACAAAAATTAACGGACACAACATTACAAAAAGGACAGCTGAGCTTCTCTTTGGTCTAGTGTGTTCTAGGAAAGGCCTACACTCTTCCTGAGTCCTCCCTCTTCCTCACATGGTATGGGAGCCTGAGACTTTACAAATTCCTACTGTTGAATCTCTTCTCCCTCCATTTCTCCAAGATGTGAACTTTCCCCCAACTGAGTCCCAAATTGCCTATTGTCTAATCCAATACTGTAGCATCCTTTACTTGGTTACTTCATGGTGATCTTGATGTTTGTTTGTTTGTTTGTTTTAGAATTATACTACTTGTTTCAAAATGGAATGGCAAACAATTTCAGGGCCTAGGAAATGGTCTTTCTATATTTTGTCATCTGTTTCCTTTACAGAAATGTAAATACCTCCTAACTCCCACAAACAAAGATTATATTACCTTTTTCAGTGAGATTCCTGACCCATCAGATGAGGAGATATTTATTTTGATTTTTATGTGGAATTTTATGGTCCATTTTTTAACTATTGTCTATGTCAAGTAGAAATGTATTAAATATGATTTTCCAAAATTAATCACAAAGCACCCTTCCAAGCCTATCTTTTATTGACAAGGATAAATACATGAAAGTTACAGCCACAGCCCAGAGGCAGGAATTTAATTCTTTGTTCATTCACTAGATCAGTGAATTTGGTTAGGTTATTTAATATCATTGAGCCTTAACTTCCTCATCTGTGAAATGAGAATAGCACAGTTACTCAACTACATTGCCATGTGAATTAAATAAAATCATGTATGTGAAAGCATCTGGCACAAAACACTAGCTCAGAGTTCTGGTTCTCTATCCCAGTGCTTCTATTTTAATTCTGTTATGTGTTTTCTAGGAATCTCTGTTGCTGAATTTAAAAGACAAAATGGAAGGCAAACTCTAGATTCTAATTCACAGAGAAAGTGTTAAGAACAATTTATTAATGAAGTTTTGAGAACAATGGTGTAAAGAAAATATTAGGGTAAATTTCAAAACCTTCTTGCAATTTCCCATGTTGTCTTTGTAATTAGATGTGTTCTCAGAATGCAGTTATACATTTTGTAAATGACTTGTGAATGTCAGCTAATCTTGTTTTAATTAGAGCAAATAAGCCTGATGTGAAGGAAAGTTTTAAACTTTAATGTTGAATTCCTTTCAAGTGTAAAGTGCAGTGAAAAAGTTCCTTTTTTACGTGAGAAAGAAGACAGTATAATGAATCACGGACCTCAAGAGGAAAAAAGCATTTCTTTTATGAAGCAGAAGAAAAATAAATATTTTAAATAGTAAAAAAATTTTTCTTTGAGAAACTGTATAAAGCCAAATTCCAAATTTAAAAGCTTGATGTACAAATCATGATGATTACACTAATTATAAGAGCTAAAATGTACTGAAGATGTTCTGTGTTCTTGACATTGACCAAGAAGGCCTTAATGTTTTCCCTCAGCTTGGACTAAACTTCAGACAGGATTGTAAGCCCTAACCTTTCTTTCCTTAGAGCATTTACTTTAGAAAACCTGTAATTGCAAATTCCTTCTCTGCCCCTTTGAGATGTAAATCTTTTTTTTAAAAGCCTCTTCCCAGTTTTACAATTCAGCACTGCCTTTCTCAAGGACCTAGGAGCCTTACCTTTGAAATGCAACTGTCAAGGAAGATAACATAACACCCCTATCTCCTCTTCCTATGGCAGCGTAGGAACCTAACTTCAGCTGGCACCTTGTTTCAAGTTGGATAATCACCTCCTTTCACAAAGACTTGAGAAAGTTCACTTCTTTTCCTTTTAGTAAGGACAATTAGCAAGGGTAGATGGTCTGTATCCTCCAATCCAAGCTCTTAAAACGCTCCCGCCTTTTGTTTCAGCAGAGGTGAGCTCAGACTGAATTCTGGAGTCTCTTCCTTACGTGTTGAACTATGTCCAGTTCAACTTTTGCTTTGAAAAGATCTATTCTTTGTAATTGGCTAAGGGGGCATATAGCACATTCTCTCCCTCAAAAATGTAATAGTAATAACAGTAATATACCTATACCTGGTGCAGGCAGCATTGTATGTGAGAACTGCAATATAATAATAATAATAATAATAATAATAATAATAATACATATACCTGGTGCAGGCAGCATTTTATATGAGAACTGCTCTGGACCCTGATCACTAGAATCCTGGCTTGTATAATCAGGTGGTGCCATGTGATCCATCAATTTAGCCTCAACAATCTAAGAGAACCTTAGACTCAGTATTTTGTGATGATGAAAAATAAATGTGTTGACAATGACTGAAACCTCTTCTTGAAAAAAAAAATACAATTAAACATACACATGCATATAAAAATAAACATTAAGGATTTGTAGCGGGTAAGAATGACTCCTCAGACTTTCCTCTGAATTGCTCTCTTGAAGCACCTGGTCAGATGTCTCTGTTTAGTCCAAAGAGTCCCTGTGGGTGCCCAGCTGTCCATCTTGTTCAAGCCTATCACAATCAGAGAAAATCTTGGATTTCACAACTTCTGAAAGAATTGTCCTGAAGGGCAACGTTCTATCAAATGATTTCTAGGATGTGATGGTCATCATCCAAATAAGCCTTCAGTGTGTGGGCCAGCCTGTGAAGGGCAGCACCTCTCTGTGTCACCCACCTGGATGTGTTACGTGCATATATGCCTGCTCTTGGTGTATGTACTCTGTGAGAGCCCTTCACTCTTAAGATGATGTGAGGAATACTTTGAACTCTTTCGTAAAAAGACTCATTTCCTGCTTAGCACAGACTTGGAAAACAACCCACATTTCTTGCACAGAGTTGTCATGACATTTTCTAGATAGTGATATGAGGTATCCCTCATGAATGTGAAGTGACTCAAGAGTGGTTCAGATGTGTTTGTGATTATCCCAGGCCAAGCTGCCTGCAGAACCACACTTTATTGGCAAAATAAAACAGTGAGGCTAAAGAATTTATAAATAAATGTTTTTTTATAGATGAGAAAAGTAATAGGTAAAAAACTGATTAGAGACACATGACCGATAAATTAACAACCCTGAATTCAAACTATGTTTTTGAATCTAAATCATGCCTTTCTTCCACTTAAATTTGCTCTTTCATAGCTGTAAGAGATGTCAATTCCCCACAGCACATAAATTACAGATGAGCTGCTTCCTCACTTTACCGCTGAGAGCCAAAGAGGTTGATGGATTTTGCCCAAGGTCTTCCAGTTACTGAATGGCAGAACTTAAACAAGAACCCAGGTCTTCTGACTCTAAGCTGGGATTTACATCATAATTAATAGAGGGATCGAAATGTATAAAAATAGAGGTGTTCCTAGGGAGGGCAGGGGTTGGGGTGTCATTAGGGGGTTAATTGCTTTCTTTGAAAAAGTAATTCCTAATAAAAAGTACCCTATACTAACCATCAGCACTTCTATGAGTGTAACTTGTGACGCTTACTTAGTTATACATAGACTTTATATATGGACAAAAGAAGGACAGCCAAAGGAAAAAAATCTATCATTTAAAAAAATATATTAATTTAGCATTGTATTAATCACGGTTATTCAGAGAAAAAGAACCAACAGGATGAGTGTGTCTGTGTCTGTGTGTGTGAGATTAAGATTAAGATTTTAAATTATTGGCTTAAGCAATTGTGGAGACTGACAAGTTCAAAATTTATAAGATAGATAGGCAATAGGCCATCAGGCTGGAGACCAATGGTTAGCTGATATTGCAGTTTGAGTCCACTGCAGTCTGTTGGCAGAATTATTTCTTCTTTGGGCAGATCCATCTATTTTTTTTCTTCAATTGATTGGACGAAACTGGCCCACATTTTGTAAGAAAATCTGCTTTTCTCAAAGTCTACTGATTTAAATCTTAACCTTATCTCTAAAATACATACAAAGAAACATCTAAAAATATGTTTGGGAAAAAGCTAGTACTGTGTCCCAGTCAAGTTGACCATACAATTAACAATCACAAACATGTGTCATGAGTCACTCTTTGCATTGTTGCTGAATATTTAAAGATGAAAATAATAAAACAAAACATAGGCTTACATAGCCTAGTATAGAAACAAACAACAAATGATTTCAACATACAATTTTTGTGCTAATGGAGATATTTGCAAGGAAGAGAGCAGGAAAGGGATTCACTTAATTGTTACTTAGGAGATAAGCAGGGAAGCTTTCCTAATAGGCAGAGAGTTTAGCTTGGAACTTCAAAGATGGGTGGGGACTTCCCAAGCAAACAAACAGAAAACAGGACTTCCCAGTCAGAGGAAATGTTTGTGGAGAAAAAGAGATTTGACGGAATGCTTCCTACTGGGGAAGCTACGGATAATTTTATATATATATATATAATATATATATAATATATATTATATATATAATATATATAATATATATTATATATATAATATATATTAAATATATAATATATATAATATTTATAATATATAATATACAATATAATATATATGATATATATAATATAATATATAATATATTATATATAATATAATATATTATATATTTAATAAATGGCTCTGGGAAGCCTGGAAGGAACTTAACATGGAAGGCTTCCTGGAAGACGTAACACTTCCCCTAAGAGTTTACTGATAGGAAGACTTAACCCACCAGTCTTCACTTCCCCATAGCTATATATTTATATATATATATATATATTTATATTCTCTGAGAATGTAAAGTACTTTGTTGACCTTGAAGAATATGAAGGGCTTCTGTGACTAGGAGAATAGTGGTGGGAAAGTAGCCAAATTTCTTCCACCCTGTGAGAGTGTGTGAGTGGGACATGAGGACCGATTCACACAGTACTCAGGAGAGAGAGACAGCACCCTGACAAGTCTGAAGAAAGAGATGCTTTATATATATATATAAATATATATATGAATATATATATAAATATATATATATAAATATATATATAAATATATATATATAAATATATATATAAATATATATATATAAATATATATATAAATATATATATATAAATATATATATAAATATATATATAAATATATATAAATATATATAAATATATATATAAATATATATATAAATATATATGAATATATATATAAATATATATGAATATATATATAAATATATATGAATATATATATAAATATATATATAAATATATATATAAATATATATAAATATATATAAATATATATATATAAATATATATAAATATATATATATAAATATATATAAATATATATAAATATATATATAAATATAAATATATATAAATATATAAATATATATATAAATATATAAAAATATATATATATAAATATATAAATATATATATAAATATATATATAAATATATATATAAATATATATAAATATATATATAAATATATATATAAATATATATAAATATATATATAAATATATATATATAAATATATATATAGTGGAGAGGGCAAAAGACAGGAGATGGAGATCAAAGGCCAGGTGGGACCTAGATTGTGGAGGGCTTTGTGAGCCATGCAGTAGCTTCTGCACCATATCCTGTAGTCCCTGGGAGAAATGGAAGAATTTGATGCAAGTCTTCTCATGGCCAGATATTTGTTTTAGAATTCACAAGATGGGAAAACCAAAGACAAGTGAAAAACCTGGATACACATAGCCATTAGAATCAGACTGGTATGATGGGATTATTACAGACACAGCACAACTTCATTAGGTAATTGTCCAACATTTGCCAGCCACACAGATATTTTCTAATATTAAAGATCTCAATAGCAGGCTGATCCCCAAAATATTCTTCTCTTCTTTCTTTGAAGTTAGCGTTGTTCAGATACTTCTCTCTCCTTTGGACCTGACTGTTTTCCTGAAGTTCTTATGAGCTGAGGTCAAATGACCAAAACTAACAGTGCCAAGGAATTCAGATAACCCTCAGGGGCTGTTGGGGTGAGGTGGGACAGGTTTTCGTCTCAACGTGTCCCGGTTCCTTTCAGGGTCAGAAGCCATTTAGAAATCATATTGGACTGTATAGGTTTGAGTTGCTTTGACACTTCAGAACCTTGAGCAAGTCACTTTAGATCTTAGGTTTCAGTTTTCTCACCTTTAACGTGGAGATAGAACTCTCCACCTGGTATATTACTGTGGGAAATAAAAAGAATTTATAAAAAGTGCTTAGCCTTGTGTTTGTTGAATAATACTTGACCTAAAAGTTCCTCCTGTTTGGCCAGGTTTCTGACAGCCTGTCTATGCTTACCCTCTCTGACCCGAGAGAGTGTTTCCTTCCTAAATATTGAACTATTTGCTACTCTGAGTTCAGCCTAATATTTTATCCTTTAATTCTTCTGCCTGGAATATCTATCTGTTTTCTGCTGTCTGGTGGGTTAAGTCTTCCTATCAGTAAACTCTTAGGGGAAGTGTTACGTCTTCCAGGAAGCCTTCCATGTTAAGTTCCTTCCAGGCTTCCCAGAGCCACTTCTTCACTTCCCCATAGCTATTAGCCCTACACCAGTGGGGGCTGTGAGCTTTAAAACTATGTATTCACTTTTATTTCCCCAGAAATTTCTGAAGAACAGCACAAGTAGTGGAAAATAAATATTTATATTAAAAGAAACAAAACAAAGAGCTGAAATAGCAAATCAAATATCCACCCACTGCATGAGGGAAATATTTCCTACAAAAATTATGTTTCATGTTGCTTAAATATGCTTTCCCCTTCCACATTTTTCAGTGAATTTTGGCACAATGTTTCTCTTTCCTGGTGTCCATGTCCTTGTCTGTAGCAAAAGACTGAAGTTTCTGAATTACTGGATAAGGCTCCCTGTAGTTTGGAATCTGTGTTTCTTCAAAACAACCCAATAGTAACAAGTAAATATTTTCTTATAAAAAAATGCCTGGCATTTTAAAGGAGTCAGAAAACAACTGTACACATTGAAATCCAAGTCCTAGCTAGATCACACTCATGTGTACTTGTGCTTCTGGCTGTGACAATTTTACAGAGCATCTCTTTCTTCAAACTTCTCAGGGTGCTGTCTCCCTCTCCTGAGTACTGTGTGAATCAGTCCTCATGTCCCACTCACACACTCTCAGAGGGTGGCAGCAATTTGGCTGTTTTCCCACCACTATTCTCCTAGTCCCAGGAGCCCTTCATATTCTTCAAGGGCAGCAAAGTACTTTATATTCTTAGAGAAAAAGAGCTATTATAATGCAGTATGCTATCTTTTTTTCAAAATAGAGGAAATCTCTGACTTTAAAAATGTTCTCTTATATAGGATCTGCACATTTAGACAACATATACATGATTAACCTGATGTATTTTATATCAATCTTTAATAGCTGCATATTTAATAATTCTTCATAGCAATATAACCTCATATTCCCACCACCAAAAAAATGACTAATTTAGTTTGCCTAAACTATCCAAAGTTTATGTTTTCCACACACACTTGGTATCCATATAGGCATCAATGTGTTTGATTTTGAGTATAGTAAACATAATTTTGCATAGTTTTTTTAACTAATAACAATCCATTTTTCTCATAGATTTTCCAAATTGTTTACGTTTTAACTGATTGCGTCAATGGCCTCTTAAACTTCTTTTGTGATTTAGTGTAAAAAATTTTTTTGTGATTTAGTGTAAAAAGCAAAATGTTTGTAATTACACAGATGTGAATTAGAATTCAAGCTCTGATACCAGCATGTTGGGTTTCCTCAGACACCTTTTTATTTATTTATTTATTTATTTATTTGAGATGGAGTCTCTCTGTGTCACCCAGGCTGAAGTGCAATGGCGCGATCTTGGCTCGCTGCAACCTCTGCCTCCCAAATTCAAGCAATTCTCCTGCCTCAGCCTCCTGAGTAGCTGGGATTACCTGGTGAGACACCATGCCTGAGTAATTTTTGTATTTTTAGTAGAAACGCGGTTTCATCATGTCGACCAGGGTGGTCTTGAACTCCTGACCTTGTGATCTGCCCATCTTGGCCTCCCAACGTGCTGGGATTACAGGGTGAGCCACCGTGCCTGGCCCGACACCTTATTATTAATAATAATGGTGAGCCATGTTTATCTTAATTATAAAATAGAGAAAATAATTCATCAATGTTAGGGTGCTTATGAAAATTAAATGTGTTAACACACGTGAGAATGTCAAATATGTTGTCGAGCACATACTGAATGTTTGAGATATTGTTTTCTTTCCTTCTTTTAGAAAGTTGAAATTATTTTTTTCTTTTTGTTAGTGCTCATGCTGTTACAAATAATGCTGTAAATATAAGGTTATCCTCTATTCTCATACAGATATGGGCATAGAAAATTACACATAAAATGTTTCTAATTATATGTATTCCTAGGTAAACGTATGTGTAGTGCAAGAATTGTCTAATTAATCCCTGTATATCTGAAGTCAATGGTTCCCACCTGGGGATAATTTTGTCCCCCTGGGGACATGTGACAATGTTTGCAGACATTTTTGATTGTCACAACTGGAGGATAGGGTGAAACTGCCATTACCCATTTAGTGGGTAAAGATCATGGATGATGATAGACATTCTACAATGGACGGGACAACCACCCATAACCAAGAACTACTTGGCCCAAAATTCTAATAGTGCTAAGGTTGAGAAAACACACCCTAAATCTACCATAGTACCTGGCATATCATACATGGCTAATAAATATTTCCTGACTGTATGGGAAATTCTCGGGTCCTCGCTGAAAGTAAACAGCTGGGTGCGTGAATTCACAATGTCTAGTATGCTATTTTTCATATTATAAAGAAAGAGCAATGGATGCCAAAAATATTACAATGTCAAGAGGATTTATTCTGAAAACATGTTTACTTATGTGAAAATAAAGTGGTTTCTCCAAATAGCACATTGTCCTCACGAAGGCACTTTTTTTTAGATACAAAATAGATAAGCATCCACTCTTGCCCACTTTATCAAAAGCTGTAAAGCAGTTAAAATTAATAGAAGGGAATGACCTCCATTATAAATGTCGCTCATTACCTGTCAGATCAATGAGTATTTAGATAGGCTGAACAAAATAACACTCTCAGATCAAAAGCCCACTAACGGCTGAAATATACTTCAGATTAAGTTAATTGCAACCCAAGAGGGATAACGTTAGCCAGTATTGTTCTGTGCAGTCTAATTAAAGAAAGCCAGGTAAAATCAAGAGCTTTTGGGGAGCTTTATCAGGTTTTACCAAGTCACAGACTCAACATATTTGATGACAGAATGTGTTTACAAAGAACGATAGCAGTAACAAAAAAGCCGTATGAAATAAAATGAAGGAAACGTGTATCTTCCTAGAGAGATAGGATATAAAGACCTGAATTGCAATCCTGGATTTATTATCATGTTCGTCAAAGAAACTATTAATTTCTCTGTGCTTTTATTTTCTACACCTATGCAATAAAGATTGTTGAAAGATTTTATTACTATTATTTCTTGGAAAAATAATTAAATAAAATGAAATAAGATGAATAAAAGAAGGAACAGTAACGATATGGTATGTCTTATTCTAATAAATAAAATGTATAGCTAAACTTTCACATACCAAGTACAGATTGTGTTAAAACTCGATTTTCATCTTCTCATTCAACTGTTGGAACATATGATGAGGGACATATTATTATTAGAATTTTATAGATAAAGAAACCAAGGAACATACAGGTTAACTGGATGGGCTAAGATCATGCAGATGGTAACAGAGATGAGATTCAGGTTTCTAAACCCCACATTATACAACTTCTCAAAGCTGGTAAGGAGAATAACTGTGTTTAACACCAAATCTTCTGATACCAAAGGCCTTTTCTTTGTACCCCAGTTAGTTGAAGCCTGGAGATTAAACAATGATAACAAGTTCAAAAACTTCTCAGAAAGGAAAGTACTGCCTAACTTTAGTAGGAATCTGATATTAGCACCTGTGTCTTTAGTCAAATTTCCTTGAAATATTATGAGATATTTAATCATGTGTAGAAAAAGTTCATGAGTAAGTTTACATCATGGAAATACGGTAGTTGGAATTTGGGTGCTCATGGAGAGTAAAGAAGGTGTAGAGTATCATTACGAATAGTGCTTTTGGGTGCAAGCTTTGCTTTATTGACTCTGAGAAATCATATAGCCTGCTCTCATGGCCTTTTGAGGTCAAATGGCAAAAAACAAAACAAAACAAAACAAAACTCTGAATTGATATACCACTTCTTTAAGGTAACATCTTCACTCTGTTAGCCCAAGTAGTCATACAGGTAGAATAAAACTTACTTTTTATTTATTTATTTGACAAATACTTACTAGTCTATTTCTATGTTCGAGGAAAAATATGCTAGTGGGTGAAGATAAGATTAAACATGCAGATAAAATTCTTGCTCTCATTAAGCTTCTATTAAAGTCAGAGAGACAGAAAATAGATAGATAAACAATAAATTAGTAGCATAACTGGAGATAGTGGCAGGTACAAGTTGGGGAATAAAATAGAGTAATGGATGAGAGAATGAACTGGAAGAAGCTGCTTTCATCCAGAAAGTCCCATCTGTGGGGTAAGGATTAAATTAAATTAAAATATATCTTCTATGATAACTAGCACATGGTAGGGACTTAGAGCAGGGAATAAATTATTAACATTTACTTTAAAATCGTTAAAAGTCTTCAGGAAACATTCCTTCAACTTTGGTAGATGAGACTGACCATGTGTAATAATTAATTAAAACCACAAAATTCAAAGGTGGTAGTTACACATACAGTCATCCAACTCTATTCCCTATGGTAATAAGCTGGAGAAGAATGTGGGAGGGGTTAAAACTTGGGAACCGGCCAGTTCTGAGTTTGAATCTAGCATGTTATTTACCGGCTGTAAAGTCATGAATAATTTAAATAAATTCTGAGTTTCTGCTTCTTTGTTGAAATGATTGGCAAGCACTACATAGTCATCAGTTTCCTTTCCATTCTACCCATTTAAATACGAAGAAATTGACTGGAAGAGAAAGGAAGGGGCTTGCCCATGATGACATAGCTATTTGACATAGTTATTTATTAGGTAAACCTGAAGAAATACCTACTATATTAGTCTGTTTTCACACTGTTATAAAGAACTACCTGAGACTGGGTAATGTATAAAGAAAAGAGGTTTAATTGACTCACAGGTCCACATGTTGTTAAAAAAAAATGGTTGGGAGGCCTCAGGAAACTTGCAATTATGGCAGAAGGTAAAGGGGAAGCAAGCACGTCTTACCATGGTGGAACAAGAGAGAGAAAGAAGGGGGAAGTGTTATACACTTTTAGACCATGGGATCTCATGAGAACGCACCCACAATCACGAGAGCAGCAAGGAGGTAATCCGTCCCATGATCCAGTCGTCTCTCACCAGGCCCCTCCTCCAATTTGACGTGAAATTTGGGTGGGGACATAAATCCAAACCATATCACCTACTCTCCATTTTATAGTCTTTCCTGAACTCCATTTTGCTATTCCCATGCTAAATTTAATTGGTAATGTGCAAAATGACATCAAAGAAGGGAGATATTTAGAAGGACAGGAAAAAATAATGAGAAAAATATCTTTGTGAAAAAAGTGGGTTAGAGGGTCTTGAGAGTGGTCCCAGGAACAGCAGCAATATCATCTCTTGGGAACTTGTTAGAAATGCAAATTATTGAGCCCCACCCTAGACCTACTAAGTTAAAAACTCTGGGGGAGGTCCTAGAAATCTGTGCTTTAACAAGCTTTTTAAGTGATTCTTATGCACATCACAGTTTGAGAGCCAGCCACTGTTTTAGATCAGTTTTAGGAAAAGGAAAGGTATCTACTATAAAGGAAGTGAGCTTCTTTGCAACATAATACTGCAAGAATGAAATTGCCACCTTAACTGATGTTTTGTGAATGGAAAATTAAGTATAAATTGATAGATTAGATAGATTAGATAAACAGAAAGATAGGTGGATAGATATGACAGATATGCATATAAATATAGATTTTATTCATCCTACTGTATCACCAATCACTTTCACATTCTACCTGACTCTGCCTGAATCTACTCATTTGGCAATATTCTATTTAGTAAAGAATTGGTAATACTAATCATATTGGTTTTTTATTCACTTTCAATTTACCTAATTGCAGAAAAATAAACTAACAGATTTTATCTATAGCATAATTTATAGATGTTAATGCAATGCCCTCAGACCTTGCCCAAAGTTATTGCATTATGCTGAGTGATGTTATCCAAGGTCTGAAGTTTCCCTGGTGGGTGATACCTTAATTTTGGCTCAGCTATCATCAACTTCCACCCATTTGGATTCTTTGTAAAATGTAAAATACTTCTCAAATATTGATTATTGATCTTTTGGCAGGAGACTCTTACATGTGCTCAAATTATTTCAGATAGATTCTTAGGTCTAATTTACATTACAATGATTTTACGCTACATTTGTACGTAAAATATGTGCTATTTTGCTCAGAATTGGAGTAGTATCCCAGAGAGTCAGCATTACAGGTCAATAAGAAAAGGGATAGAATGTGCCTCAAGTGGTGGATCAGTCAAGAATAAAAAGAACCGTTTACTGAATTCCATATGTGGATATTGCTGTTGTGGATTTACAGACATTCTATGGACTCCTCACAACTTTAAGGCTAGTATCATTTTGCCATTTTAGGTAAAAAAAAAATTGAGGCTTCAGGTTAGATTAAGTTCAATCTAAATCTAAATTTCTTAAAATTAAGAAACCAGTGATTGAGACCCAAATTCTGGTTGACTAACAGCTCTTATTTTCAACTCTCAATTGCGGACCAGTCAAGCATAAAAAAGGACCATTTACTGAGTTCCATATGTGGATATTGCTGTTGTGGATTTACACACATTCTATGGACTCCTCACAACTCTAAGACTCATATCATTATGCCATTTTATATCAAAGAAATTGAGGTCTGAGCTTAAATTAAATACAATACATTAAAATTAAGAAACCAGTGATTGAGACCCAAATTCTAGTTGACTAAAAGGTTTTATTTTCAACTCTCTGGGGCCACATTTCCGGAACCATGAAAACAGTTTAGCATTAACTTATCAAACACTCGCTGCGCACCTACCATGCCATACAATGCTTTGTAGAGGATTAGAATGAACAATGGGCATGTCTATCCTACTTGCCAACCTGTTGCAGCTTCCATGTCACCTTAGAGAAGCCTAAGTTCACCCATTCCATGGGGTGAACCCATTCTTGTTTCTTTTCTCATCTATAAAACAGAGTGAAAGTGCATAATTTCTAAAGATTAAAATGTATTCAAAGAAAGATCTAATTAGTAAAACAATAGGTGATTTTTAAAGGCCCGGTCATGTCCCAATGTTTCTTAATGAGTATATATTATTTAAATCCTGGTAAGTAAATTTATTGTCTAAAGAGAGGTATTTCCACTACTGTTCTGGAAAATGTATTCAGTGCCTACTGATCTAAAGAATTCCTATTTTGCTCCCCACTGAAATTGTAGGTTGCTGTTCTATACTGGATCAGACAGAGGCAGGAATGAAACGGCAGGGAATAAATATTTTGTTTCTCAAGTCTTAAAATGACTAAAACATTAGAGAGAGAAAAAAAAGTATATGCAAATGAACCTTCCCTATCAAGTTTGGAATCTGAGTCCCTTGACAGGTTTCTTTGACAAATTTTTATAGAACACTGACTTGGAATTTTGTATATACCTATATTGTCAATCCCTGTAGAAATATTCTCAAACTATCAACACCTATGCATATGCAAATCTCACCTTTCCTTCAAACTACAGCATAAAAGCCATTAAGCCTCCCTTTGTTCTTTGAAGCTGGAAATTCTAAATAACTTGTCTAAACTCAGTGGGTTCTTCATCTGTGTGTCTCCCAGGAGCACATGCCTAAGAAAATGTTGGCAAGAAGAAAAGAGACATTATTATACCATTAAAACAGAGTATAGGGAAGAAAGATAAAATTACCTATATGCTTGTCCTAAAACATTAGCTGTTAATATTTTGGTTTATTCTCTTCACTATGTTTTCAATGTTTCAAAGATATATATTATTTTACACAATTAAAATTAACTTGTAAAAATATAAGATCAATTTTTTAAAAATCATATAATTTTTCATATTAAATGTGACATTACAGTATCAGAGTTTACCTAGCTGCTAAAGATTTTATTATTATTATTATTATTATAATACTTTAAGTTTTAGGGTACATGTGCACAATGTGCAGGTTAGTTACATATGTATACATGTGCCATGCTGGTGTGCTGCACCCATTAACTCCTCATTTAGCATTAGGTATATCTCCTAATGTCATCCCTCCCCCTTCCCCCCACCCCACAACAGTCCCCAGAGTGTGATGTTCCCCTTCCTGTGTCCATGTGTTCCCATTGTTCAATTCCCACCTATGAGTGAGAACATGCAGTGTTTGGATTTTTGTCCTTGTGATAGTTTACTGAGAATGATGATTTCCAATTTCATCCATGTCCCTACAAAGAACATGAACTCATCATTTTTTATGGCTGCATAGTATTCCATGGTGTATATGGGCCACATTTTCTTAATCCAGTCTATCATTGTTGGACATTTGGATTGGTTCCAAGTCTTTGCTATTGTGAATAGTGCTGCAATAAACATACGTGTGCATGTGTCTTTATAGCAGCATGATTTCTAGTCCTTTGGTTATATACCCAGTAATGGGATGGCTGGGTCAGATGGTATTTCTAGTTCTAGATCCCTGAGGAATCGCCACATTGACTTCCACAATGGTTGAACTAGTTTACAGTCCCACCAACCGTGTAAAAGTGTTCCTATTTCTCCACATCCTCTCCAGCACCTGTTGTTTCCTGACTTTTTAATGATTGCCATTCTAACTGGTGTGAGATGGTATCTCATTGTGGTTTTGATTTGCATTTCTCTGATAGCCAGTGATGGTGATCATTTTTTCATGTGTTTTTTGGCTGCATAAATGTCTTCTTGTGAGAAGTGTCTGTTCATGTCCTTGGCCCACTTTTTGATGGGGTTGTTTGTTTTTTTCTTGTAAATTTGTTTGAATTCATTGTAGATTCTGGATATTAGCCCTTTGTCAGATGAGTAAGTTGCGAAAATTTTCTCCCATTTTGTAGGTTGCCTGTTCACTCTGATGGTAGTTTCTTTTGCTGTGCAGAAGCTCTTTAGTTTAATTAGATCCCATTTGTCAATTTTGGCTTCTGTTGCCATTGCTTTTGGTGTTTTAGACATGAAGTCCTTGCCCATGCCTATGTCCTGAATGGTATTGCCTAGGTTTTCTTCTAGGGTTTTTATGGTTTTAGGTCTAACGTTTAAGTCTTTAATCCATCTTGAATTGATTTTTGTATAAGGTGTAAGAAAGGGATCCAGTTTCAGCTTTCTACATATGGCTAGCCAGTTTTCCCAGCACCATTTATTAAATAGGGAATCCTTTCCCCATTGCTTGTTTTTCTCAGGTTTGTCAAAGATCAGATAGTTGTAGATATGTGGCGTTATTTCTGAGGGCTCTGTTCTGTTCCATTGATCTATATCTCTGTTTTGGTACCAGTACCATGCTGTTTTGGTTACTGTAGCCTTGTAGTATAGTTTGAAGTCAGGTAGTGTGATGCCTCCAGCTTTGTTCTTTTGGCTTAGGATTGACTTGACGATGCGGGCTCTTTTTTGGTTCCATATGAACTTTAAAGTAGTTTTTTTCCAATTCTGTGAAGAAAGTCATTGGTAGCTTGATGGGGATGGTACTGAATCTATAAATTACCTTGGGCAGTATGGCCATTTTCACGATATTGATTCTTCCTACCCATGAGCATGGAATGTTCTTCCATTTCTTTGTATCCTCTTTTATTTCATTGAGCAATGGTTTGTAGTTCTCCCTGAAGAGGTCCTTCACATCCATTGTAAGTTGGATTCCTAGGTATTTTATTCTCTTTGAAGCAATTGTGAATGGGAGTTCACTCATGATTTGGCTGTTTGTCTGTTATTGGTGTATAAGAATGCTTGTAATTTTTGTACATTGATTTTGTATCCTGAGACTTTGCTGAAGTTGCTTATCAGCTTAAGGAGATTTTGGGCTGAGACAATGGGGTTTTCTAGACATACAAAATCAGAGCAGAACTGAAGGAAATAGAGACACAAAAAACCCTTCAAAAAATTAATGAATCCAGGAGCTGGTTTTTTGAAAGGATCAACAAAATTGATAGACCACTAGCAAGACTAATAAAGAAAAAAAGAGAGAAGAATCAAATAGACGCAATAAAAAATGATAAAGGGGATATCACCACTGATCCCACAGAAATACAAACTACCATCAGAGAATACTACAAACACCTCTACGCAAATAAACTAGAAAATCTAGAAGAAATGGATAAATTCCTCGACACATGCACTCTCCCAAGACTAAACCAGGAAGAAGTTGACTCTCTGAATAGACCAATAACAGACTCTGAAATTGTGGCAATAATCAATAGCTTACCAACCAAAAAGAGTCCAGGACCAGATGGATTCACAGCCAAATTCTACCAGAGGTACAAGGAGGAACTGATACCATTCCTTCTGAAACTATTCCAATCAATAGAAAAAGAGGGAATCCTCCCTAACTCATTTTATGAGGCCAGCATCATCCTGATACCAAAGCCTGGCAGAGACACAACCAAAAAAGAAAATTTTAGACCAATATCCTTGATGAACATTGATGCAAAAATCCTCAATAAAATACTGGCAAACTGAATCCAGCAGCACATCAAAAAGCTTATCCACCATGATCAAGTGGGCTTCATCCCTGGGATGCAAGGCTGGTTCAATATATGCAAATCAATAAATGTAATCCAGCATATAAACAGAACCAAAGACAAAAACCACATGATTATCTCAATAGATGCAGAAAAGGCCTTTAACAAAATTCAACAACCTTCATGCTAAAAACTCTCAATAAATTAGGTATTGATGGGACATATCTCAAAATAATAAGAGCTATCTATGACAAACCCACAGCCAATATCATGCTGAATGGGCAAAAACTGGAAGCATTCCCTTTGAAAACCGGCACAAGACAGGGATGCCCTCTCTCACCACTCCCATTCAACATAGTGTTGGAAGTTCTGGCCAGGGCAATTAGGCAGGAGAAGGAAATAAAGGGTATTCAGTTAGGAAAAGAGGAAGTCGAATTGTCCCTGTTTGCAGATGACATGATTGTATATGCTAAAGATTTTTTAGGATATATTGCTTTCTAACATGAAGTCTAAGTTTTCATTGACTATTTCCTATTACACTAGACTGCAAACTGGATGACACTATAAATTGTATCTGAATTGTGTGTTTCCCCCAGGGTCTTACTCAGAGTAGATACGCAACAAATATTTGTATACTGAATAGCTTTCGCTGTATTGCATTTGGAATCCATGAAATACATTTTATCATTTAACAATGTCTGCTCCTCAGGAAAGACTAGACCTTTTTACTTATTTCATGGGTAATTTAACTCCGAGGAGTGAGAGGTCAAATAGACGTGACCATCCATCCTGAGCCTTTTGTCTCAGGGCTGGTGTTCCTTCTACCATAGCCAGCTGCCTTAAGTTTAAAAAATGAATGGATTCTAGGATGATCTTTTAACTTGAATTTATACGATGGGCAACAAACTCTTCCCAGTAATATTCAGGATATGAATACTCAGACAGATTTGAGGTATTTCTAATAAATTGGTCTTCAAATCTTCAGAGCACATATAATGCCAAAAACATTATTTTGATGAATAGGCCCTAAACTTTTAAAAAATGATGCTGTGATGGCAAATATCAAATCTTTTAAACAAAATCAAATTCAGGAGTTCAGTTTAAATCTTGGCAAAGCCCCAGCACATTAAAAGAGAATTAAGTCAGTTTTAGGAAGCAGAACATTCATATTTTACCTTTATTTTTAAACAACTGTTAAAACCTCTACCTTTTTATTTCTTTACCTCAGAGAAAGAATGGCCCTGAAGCAGCAACAACTTGTCTAACCCTGGATACCATAATTGAAATAAATGGAGGAAAAAGATGTTTTTATTTTAAAAGCTCTTTCAGTATTACTGTGAAGAAGCAATTAGAACAATTTACAATTGTATTTTTTAATGTATTTTCATTTTTATAAATTTAGCCATGTACAATCCTACTCCAAACAGGAATTTAAAGAATAATAATGTCTACTATTTTTAAGCACCTACTATGTGACAGGTATTGTCCTAGGCTTTTTACTACATTACATCACCAATCTTTCAAGACAGTTGTTAGTATGTCTGTTATTACAGATGGGAACATTGTTCCTGAAACTGTAAGAAATCTTTCCATATTTGCATGCCTATTATCTGATGGATTGAGGTTGTTGACTTCAAAATTCCTTTTCTCTGCGTACTACCCAGCTATTACAAAAATCCATAAGCCATTGTGCTTAAAGATGAATAAAACATTTTTGAACATGCCTAATAGATTTGTACCATGTTCTTTATCTGCTAAGCAAGGCACTAGAGCCTTTTGCTGACGTGGAATTTATATAATTATTTAAAATTTCATGTAGGTAGAATTTGTGAATACAAATTTAATATAAACCAGTAACAATTCTGATAATTTTGCAAAAGGAATTTGGAATGGCAGAAGACAGAAAATAATAGCGGTTAGTAGTAAGAGTACCTAAAAATGGTTGGGCTGGGGTCAAGCACCACCCAAGGAAGCCTAGACAGATAGAAGCAGAAAAGTTCTTTAAAATCTAATAGTTACATGTATATAATTATATATGTATGTGATTTTATGTATTTATATATAATTTCTGCTATAGTATACAATGTGGCCATTTATTTTAATGTAAAGGTAATATTGTATATTGCCTACTTTGAAGAAAAATTGAAACTCTAAGAAGAAATGACATATTTTCCCTTGAGCATTCTATGCACCAGATATACAACTGTGGACCCCAGGAGTACATGCACCAAGTTTGAGAAGAATTATTAAATGTTTTACCATGTATTTGACGTTTATTGTAAGAAATGATTATATATACATGATTTTTAAGGACTTTAAGTATAAGATTTTATTTAATCCTCACCAAAATCACTGAGACATAATTCTTTAGTTTGTATTTATATAAAATATCCTATGGCTTATCATTTAACATCATCATCAGTTCCCCTTCAACTGAAGTGTTTGATAAGTCACATCAAGTTTGAAATGTTCAAAGCTACAGATAGTGTTTAATTGATTTCTTTGTTTTCCTAAATTTTAGAAGTAGTGGCAGAGGGAAAAATAAGGGATGAGTAGTTACAGGCAATGGGTGGGAGCCCAGAACTTTTTTGAGGAAGATCATGCTTTTACGTGATTCTGTAAACACTATGTTCATCAGATTAAATTACTTTTCATAGAACTTGTAAACTTCCTGCTAGGTTAAATTTTTGTGAAACCCATCCTATCATTAAACAGTTAACTCAAGTAATAGGCTAAATTTATACATGGGAGTATCTGCAAAAAATTAATGGGAACACTGTGTAGTTAACTGGCTGTATTAGCTTAGAAAAAAATACAATGTTTTTCCATTTAGGCCACATTTTTTTTTTCACTATCCTTAAGTGAAAGGTGTCCCACACCTTAAGATTTCTTTGCAATTATTAAATACACAGATTCCATTCTGTTTACACAGAAAAACACCTGGAAGGTGCTTCTTACTACCAAGGGATGTGCACAGCAATCCTGGGAGAAAGGGAGGTCAGTTCTTAGCATCTCCATCCTCCCAAGGTAAACACTGTGGTCCTGAGGGCTTTAAGGCTATTTTTTAGGTCAAAAATTAAATGGCAGACATTGTGCTTAAATAATTTGACCTTTAAGGATTTCAGTTCCCTAAGGAACTTAGAAGTCTCCGTTTCAAAATTAACACAACAGATGTGTTAATTTTATAAGTGGGCATAGATTAAGGCATTCAGGAACACATTGCAATTGTAGCTGGAAAAAAGACACAGATGCGATCAGGGAAACTAGTCTCTAACGACTATTATTATTCTGAGGCTAATTGGTGAACTTCTGGACCTTGTATAGCTATGCCTTGTTTCAGGGAAGCTTGACTGTAAATAGGGACAAGTTACAGGAAATGAAGATCATTTTTGTTCAAAAGTATTCTACATAACATTGCCTTCTACAGCCAGCTTCCTAGTAATGTTTTCAAATCTATTTTTAAATGGCTTAATTTATTTTTGTTTATTACTCAGTTGATCAAAGACTATTTTCCAGGTGCTGTGCTAGGTGCTTGTCTCATGGGGTCACAGTTTCTTTCTTCATCAAACAAATATATTAATGAAAAAATATTCAAATGATAGATCAATGTTTGATTACAAAATAAGTTCCTCTATCAAAACAGTTAAGAAAGTAATCTAGATCTTTCTGAAGAGGTGACATTGAAGGTGACATCTGCTGGAGTCCAAGAGTGAGAGAGGAGCATGTGGGATAGAGTGGGCAGCCAAAGTATCCTGAGGTGGACAATGGCCTCAAATAAAGCCACCATAGCTAAAGCCAATGGAGAGAAGGAGAGGAATGCAAGGTAAGGTTTGAAAAGGAAGGCTGAAACTCAGTTTTGAAGAATCCTAAGCCATTGTATAGTATTAGCTTTCCTGGATTTCCCATAAAAAAACTGGATGGTTTTTGAGAATTATTTTCTTATAATCCTGGAGGCCAGAAGTCCAAAATCAGGGTGTCATCGGTGGTGGTCCCTTCTGAAGGCTCTGAGGGAGAATCTGTTCCTTAACTTTCTCCAGCTGTCAATACTGGGTATTCCTTGGCTTGCAGATATAATCGACCTTCTATATCCAAGGGTTCCGCATCTTCAGAGACATTATTTCCTTAGCATTTATACTGTATTGGGTATTATTTGTCATCTAGAGATGATTTTAAATATATAGCAGGGCCAGGCGCAGTGGCTCAGGGCCATAATCCTAGAATTTGGGAGGTCAAGGCAGGCGGATAACCTGAGCTCAGGAGTTTGAGACCAGCTGGGGCAACATGGTGAAACCCTGTCTCTACTAAAAATACAAAAAATTAGCAGGGCGTGGTGGCACGTGCCTGTAATCCAAGCTACTCCGGAGGCTGAGGCACACGAATTGCTTAAGCCTGGGAGGTGGAGGTTGCAGTGAGCCGATATTGCATCACTGCACACTGCACTCCAGCCTGGGTGACAGAGTGAGAATCTGTCTCAAAAAACAAAAAAATTAATAAATAAATAATAAATAAATATATATATGTAAATTGTATGCAAATACTATGCCGTTTTATATAAGGAACTTGAGCAGATTTTGGTACCACGAGAGGTCCTGAAATGAATCCTCTGAGGATACTGAGGGTAAACAGTACATTTTTACAAGCTCTGTGCATGGCATTCTCCTCTGTGTGATTTTGTCTCTTCACATGGCCATCTTTTCATAAAGACATCAGTCATATTGGATTAGGAGCCCATCCTACTCCAGTCTGACCTCAACTAATTACATTTGTAATGATTCTATTTCTAAATATGGTTACACTTTTAGGTACTGAGGATTTGGACTTTAACATATCTTCTTTTGGGGGACACAATGCAAACCTTAAGTCATATTAAGAGATTTTTATTTCTCTTAAGATCAAACAGAAATCACTGAACAAGTTTATACCTCCTTCTGACAGTTCTTTGAAGAAAATAAAAGGGCAGGAGGAGAAAAAGCTAGTGAATTAGCCAGCTCCTGCAAATGCATTAGGATGGTAAGAAGTAATCGTGGCTTAAACTAAGATGCCAGCACTAAAGGTAGAGAGAAATGACACATTTGGCAAAATGTCATAAGAAGAAGTTGATTTGAGAATACCAGCAAATCAATAAATCATTATGGACTTGTTGAGTTTGGCATGCCACCGAGACACTAAGGAAAAATGAAAGGAGGAAATTGGCCACATAGGAGTACCATTCAAAAGAGAGGCTGGAGTTACAATTTTAGGACTCATAAACACACAGATGGCTCTAAAGACAGGAGTGTGGATGTCTCATAGAAAGAACATAAGGAGAATAGAATAGGAGAATAGGGCTCTGGACTAAGCCCGGTCCAGGTAGAGAGTAAGAAAAGAAGACTGAGCAGTATGGGCCTGAGAGGCAAAAAGAAAAACAAACAGACAGATAATAACAAAAGGCCATAAATAAAGCCTTTAGAATGAGCCTGAAGAATGAGGTCACATAAATCAAGAGAAGAAAATGTTTCCAGAAAGGAGAATTGAATAGTATTCAGTGCTGCTGAGTTTAATGAAAAATGAAGGACCCAAATAGCAAAAAGGGATAATACAAATGCCATTTTTGATTACATAAGAGAAAGTCACATTTCCCAGAATGATTTTGAGAGGTGAGGCCAGCTGGACTTCCTGGGTCAAGTGAGGACTTGAGGAACTTTCCTGTCTTACAAGAGGATTGCAAAATGCACCAATCAGTGCTCTGTAAAACACACCTATCAGCACTCTGTAAAATGCACCAATCAGCAGGATTCTAAAAGTAGCCAATCGTGGGTAGGATTGAAAAAAGGGCCCTCTGATAGGACAGAAATGGAACATGCGCAGGGACAATAAGGGAATAAAAGCTGGCCACCCCAGCCAGCAGTGGCAACCCACTTGGGTCCCCTTCCACATTATGGAAGCTTTGTCCATTAGCTCTTCACAATAAACCTTGCTACCTCTCACTCTCTGGGTCTGTGCCATCTTTAAGAGCTGTAACACTCAGCGTGAAGGTCTGTGGCTTCATTCTTGAAGTCAGCAAGACCATGAACCCACTGGTAGGAACCAACTCCAGACACAATTTTAAATATAAGATATAGTATACCTGTGTAGGGGAAGTTTTACAACGTTGACCGACAACCTTTGACTTATTCTATTCTTGGCACAAACAACTGTCAAAATCATAAATTGATAGGGTAAAAATAATATAGACTTGAATAGATTCCAATCTCTTTTTAAAAACTTTTTTGAATGATATTAAATCAATGAGTCCTGAAAATTTACAATCATGTTTTACAGAATAATTGAGGTCAGTTACTTTGTATACTTTTGGACAGAAACTACTGATATGTTTCCCAATTTTAGGAATCATCAGGTAATCCTTACATAGTGCCACCTTTAAATTTTAATAACGCAGTCTCCATATTGTAATATTCAAATTATATTACAGGGACTTTTTATTACTTTATTTATCATACAATTCCCCCTCCTCTTCCTCTCTTAGTGGAGACTCTACAAAAGAGTCAAGAAGGCTAGGTGTAAAAAAGTAGTCAATCATGTGACTATAACCAGCAACAAAGTGCCATACCTGAAAATCATTTATGTTCATTTTCTGAAACAGTTTGGAGACCCTCAAACCAAAACAAAACAAACAAGAAATGCTTCCCCAATGTCTTGGTGTTATATCTTTATAATTTGAAGTTATATTTTCAAAACAGCAGGCATATAAAAGTCTAAAAAATGCAAGAAACTTGAATGAGCTTTTGAGTATTCCATAGAGTCTTAATTCTTTCTACACTTCAATTTATTGAATTAACCTGGCAGTACAACATTTTCCCCTCCTTCCATAGACTTGTCTACCTGCTGATAAGAATTGGACAAGATTTACTGATCTGGCTACCTACTGGTGTGGTATCTTTAAGTGGTGAATATAAATCTTTAAATCACAGTGCTTACAATGACTTCACTTCCTCCTAGTATTTCATCCACAAATAAGAAAAAAAAAAGCAATGGAGAACATATTACTGACATTTGCAACACCATTTTTTCCTCTTTAAATTTATTTTTAACACCTCCGGGGAAGATGTAACTTTTTTTTCTATTAGACCTTAAGAAGAAAATATCTACTCTGCAATATGTACATAAATGCTAAAGGGAATGCTAAAATACAAGGATGAAAAGTTTGGGACAGGACATCTGGCAACCCAGACTCTCTTTCAATCCCTGGTAAACAGACGTAATTTAAATCAGTGTTTTTTTTTGTTTGTTTTTGTTTGTTTAACCTAACTTCATTGTTCAGGTTTGTTACTGTGTGAAATGAGTCACTAAGAGTTTGGTATTGCTAAAGCTTCTGAAAAATTACTCGAATAGCTATCCTAAAGACTAACTTTTTAAAATACACTTAATTTTTCCCGCCTTAAACGTACCACCCCACTTCCCTCTCCCAACTCCTCTACTCTCCAATCACACTTACTCTTTGACTCTGCTATAAATTTTTTGATGAGGATAATTTATCATAACTTAATTTGTGGTTGAACATGTATCACTTTTGCCTGATTATGAAGTATATATTGCTTAGTTTTAGTGTTATTTTTTCAGATTCAATGATTTCAAAAATACTAAGAAAAAATAAATGTCATATCTCTCTCTTTGTGTCTTATTTATTTATTTATTTTTTTGAGACAGAGTCTTGCTTTGTCGCCTAGGCTGGAGTGCAGTGGCACGATCTCAGCTCACTGCAACCTCCACCTCCCAGGTTCAAGCAATTCTCCTGCCCCAGTGTCTCGAGTAGCAATAAATCTCTCTCTCTTCCTTTTTTTTTGAGATGCAGTTTTGCTCTTTTTGCCCAGGCTGGAGTGCAATGGCGTGATCTGGGCTCACCACAAGCTCCACCTCCCAGGTTCAAGCGATTCTCAGGCCTCAGCCTCCCAAGCAGCTGGGATTACAGGCGCATGCCACCACACTCAGCTAATTTTTTATATTTGTAGTAGACGCAGGGTTTCACCATGTTTGCTAGGCTGGTCTTGAACTTCTGACTTTAGGTGATCCACCGGCCTCTGCCTCCCAAAGTGCTGGAATCACAGTTGTGAGCCACTGTGACCAGCAATATCTCTTTTTAATAGTGGAGTATCAATGGGTACTAAGAGTGTGGTGGAGTACTGGAGATACTGAGTTATAAGAGCTTGGGTATACAAATTTGGAAATTGAATCCTGTTTTTGCCTTTTACTAGCTTTATGTTTATGAAGTCAATAACCTATTTTCTCAGAATGTCATTTTACCTACCTATAAAAATAGACACTTAGAGCTTTCAAAACTCTGTCAACAGTAGTTGGAAGAATTAAAAGAAATAGTGTGGGTGTGGGTGAGTGTGCCTAGAAATTAGTAAGTGGTTACTTAACTTTAGGTCTTCCCCTTCTATATCAAAAAAGATCTTCAGTAAGACCTAACGCTATTATAATAATTTTATGCAACAAAAACCCTTCTTGAGAAGAAAATAAACCTCTCATTCATAAATAATGTAATTATTATACTGTTGCTGATTTCTTTTGTTATGTTAATGTCATTGCATCATTAGTGAAAATTCTGCCCAATGCTAGGATAACTCTGTTATTCTTGAGACAGTTTGGAAATTTGCTTTCCAGAGGATTGCATTAACTGAAAATGCCACCAGTAAGCAGATTAGCAAACCCATGCACTATCTTTTTGCTATTATTTACTTATTGCTATTTTACCATTTTAAATGAAATATAATATTTATAACTTTAAAATTAAAAAAAGGACACAAGGTTGCCATCAGAGCAAATGCTATATTCATTTACCTCATTTTTTTTTGTATACACATAGAAAAGGTTGTTTTCCCGCATAAATCTTCCATGAAATCTAGGGGAAGATACAGTCGTAATGGTGGCAGCCACAGGGGTCCTTGTGTCATTTCACCCCCAGCTTTAGATGTTTCAGAATGGAGAGAGATTTTGTTTGTTTGGGAGAAAGTAAGATAATAGAATAAGAGTCTCTGCCTGATAATCCAGAGAATTCCCCTGGAGCATGTCCAAAACCATCGAGGCAGTACCGCTGAGTCTGCAAGAACCATGGCATTACTGGGTTTGAGATTCCCCCTACTAGAGTTACAGTTTAGAGCACAGAAACAAGTCTTTTCAAATATCTGGAAAGCTGTTCCAAGAAGGATGGCTACAAATAATCCCAGACAGTGAAGACTAAAATAAATACCTAATTCTAAATTCCCAGACACCAAAGAGTATCTATTAGCATCAACACCATCCAGGAAAACATGACCTCACCAAATGAACTAAATAAGCCCCCAAGGATCAATCCTGGAGAAACAGAGCTGTGTGACCTTTCAGACAGAGAATTCAAAATAACTGTGGGAAAAAAAAACTCAGAATTTCAAGACAACAGAGAGAAAGAATTCAGACTTCTATCAGAGAAATTTAACAAAGAGATTGAAGTAATTAAAAAGAATCAAGAAGAAATTCTGGAGCTGAAAAATGCAATTGGCATACTGAAGAATGCAGCAGAGTTCTTTAACAGCATAATCAAGCAGAATAAAGAATTAGTGAGTTTGATGATAGGTTAGTTGAAAATACACAGTCTGTGGGCAGAAAAAAAAGAATAAAAAAATGAAATACACCTACAGGATCTAAAAAATAGCCTCACAAGGGCAAATCTAAGCATTATTGGCTTTAAAGAGGAGGTAGAAAAAGAGGTAGGGTTAGAAAGCATATTTAAAGGGATAATAACAGACAATTTTCCAAACCAAGAGAAAGATATCAATATCCAAGTACAAGAAGGTTATACAACACCAAGCAGATTTAACCCAAAGAAAGGCATTGAATAATCGGACTCCCCAAGTCAAGGATAAAGAAAGGATCCCAAAAGCAGCAAGAGAAAAGAAACAAATAACATACAATGGAGCTCCAATATGGTCAATGGCAGACTTTTTAGTGGAAATCTTATAGGTCAGGAGAAAGTGGCATGACATACTTAAAGTGCTGAAGGGAAAAAACATTCACCCTAGAATAGTATGTCCAGTGAAAATATCCTTCAAACTGGAGGGAGAAATAAAGACTTTCCTAAGACAAACAAAAGCTGAGAAATTTCATCAACACCAGGCCTGTCCTACAAGAAATGCTAAAGGGAGTACTTCAGTCAGAAAGAAAAGGACATTAATGAGCAAAAAGTAATTGCCTGAAGGTAGAAAACTCACTAATAATAGTAAGTATACAAACTAACTCAGAATCTTATAATACTGAAACTGTGGTGTGTAAGCTACTCTTGTCCTGACTAGAAAGACTAAATGATGACCAATCAAAAGTAATAACTACAACAATTTTTCAAGACATAGTCAGTGCAGTAAGATATAAATTGAAACAACAAAAAGTTAAAAAGAATGAAGTTAAGACATAGAGTTTTTACTAGTTTTCTTTGTGCTTCTTTGTTTATGAGAACAGTGCTAAGTTTTTATCCAGTGAAAATAATGGGTTACAAGATAGTATTTGTAAGCCTTATGGTAACCTCAAACCAAAAAACATACAAGGGATACACAAAAAAATAAAAAGCAGAAAGCTAAATCATATCACCAGAGAAAATCACCTTTACTAAAGAAAGACAAGAAGAAAAGAAAGAAGTGAAGACCACGAAACAACCAGAATACAAATAACAAAATGGCAGAAGTAAGCACTTACTTATTAATTAACATTAAATATAAGTGGACTGACCTCTCCAATCAAAAGACATGGACTGACTGAATGGATGAAAAAACAAGACCCTTTGATCTGTTGCCCAGAAGAAACACACTTCACTTATAAAGACACACATAGACTGAAAATGAAGGAATGAAAAAAAAATACTCTATACCAATGGAAACAAAAAAAGAGCAGGAGTCATTATACTTACAACAGACAAATAGATTTTATGACAAAAACTAATAAGAAGAGACTAAGAATGTCAGTATAAAATGATAAAGGTGTCAATTAAGCAAGAGACATAACAATTTTAAATGTATATGCATCCAACATTGGAGCACCCAGATATATAAAGCAATTATTATTTGAGCTAAAGAGAGAGATATGTCCTAACACAATAATAACTGAAAACTTCAACACCCCACTTTCAGCATTAGACAGATCTTCCAGATAGAAAATCAACAAAGAATCATCAGACTTAATCTACACTGTAGAACAAATGGATCTAATACATATTTACAGAAAATTTTATCCCATGGCTGCAGAATATTAATTGTTTTCCTCAGCACATGGATCATTCTCAAGGATAGACCATATGTTTGTTCACAAAACAAATCTTAAAACGTTAAAAAATGTAAAGTAATATCAAGCATCTTGTCTGACCATGATGAAATAGAAATTAATAACAAAAGGAATTTTGGAAACTATACAAATATATGGAAATTAAGCAATATGCTCCTGAATGACCAATATAGGTCAATGAAGAAATTAAGAAGGAAACTGAAAAATTGGTTTCATTATATTGAAACAAATGATAATGGAAACACAACATACAAAGACCTGTAAGATACAGCAAATCATTACTAAGAGGGAAGATTATAGCTGTAAGTGCCTGTATCAAAAGAAGAGGAAAAATTTCAAATAAACCATCTAGTGATGCATCTTAAAGAACTAGAAAAGCAAGAGCAAATCAAACCCCCAATTAGTAGAAGAAAAGAAATAATAAAGATCAGACAAGAAATAAATAAAACTATATTTTATTTATATAAAAAATAAAGAAATACAAAATATAAATGAAGCAAAAGTGCTTTTCTTAAAAAAAAAAAGATAAATGAAATTGACAAACCTTTAGCCACACTAAGGAAAAAAGAGAGAGGCTGGGGGCTGTGGCTCACACCTGTAACCCCAGAACTTTGGGAGGCCAAGGCAGGTGGACCATGAGGTCAAGAGATTGAGACCATCCTGGCCAACATGGTGAAACCCCGCCTCAACTAAAAATACAAAAATTAGCTGGGCATGGTGGTGTGCGCCTGTAGTCCCAGCTACCCTGGAGGCTGAGGCAGGAGAATGGATTGAACCTGGAAGGCAGAGGTTGCAGTGAGCCAAGATTGCACCACTGCACTCCAGCCTGGCAACAGAGCGAGACTCTGAATCCAAAAAAATAAATAAGTAAATGAAATAAAGAATAATGAATAAGGAAAAAAGAGAGAAGATCCAAGTACATAAAATCAAAAATGAAAAAGTAGACATTATTACAACTGATACTGCAGAAATTCAAAGGATCATTAGCAGCTACCATGAGCAACTATATGCCAATAAATTGGAAATTCTAGAAGAAATGGACAAATTCCTAGACACATACAACCTACCAAGATTGAACCATGAAGAAATCCAAAACCTGAATTGACCAATAACAAGGAATGAGGATTGAAGCTGTAATAAAAAGTCTCAAAAGTGACCAAAGTGTTTGAAGATACTTAACCATGTTCATTTATTGGAAGTCTCAACATAGTGAAGATGGCAAGTAGTTATGGATAGCTAATAGGGATCGGCGGAGGGGGTAGCATGCGAATGTGGCTATACATGGGTGACAAGAGAGAGCCTTGAAGTGATGGCACAGTTCTGTATGTCAATTGTGGTTGTTGTCATTACATGAAGCTGCATATGTGATAGAACTTTATAGAATTATACACACACATAAAGAGGTGCTTGTGAAAATGGTAAGATCTGAATAAACTTTGTGAATTGTACTATGTCAATTTCCTGGCATTAATATTTTACGATCATTATACAAGATGTTACCATTGTGAGTGCTGTTGAAGGGTGATTGTGGAATCTCCTTGCAACTTCCTACAATGTTCTTATTATCTGAAAATAAGCTTAAAATTGTAATTAATTCTATCACACTTTTACAATAACAAATAAATAATTTCATATTACACATAAAACTAATTCTTAGCAGTTTTCTCAAAAGTTACTCCAGTTATCTATCTCATTTACTTTTAAATATTTTATGGTGTCATAAGTCTAGCTATTATCACCAGCTGTCTGATGGCTTCCCCAAACTCACAGATGGATAAAGTTACTAGTGAACCCTGAATAGGACATAAGAGAAACAATTAATGCATGTGGAAGTGTTGTTGTAAACCTTGAACTATAGTAAAATGACTAAATATCACTTAACTTATGCTTTCTGATTTCTATCCTGATATTCTATTATATTTTTGATGGTGGCCTTAACTTTAACTTTCAGACAAAGAGAATTATTATCTGTCCTGTCATTGAACCTACATACTTAATCTCGAAAAACCTTCACCCAAGGGATTTTTTTTAAATTCAATATGGAAGCTTAACTATCGCCTAACATAACCTTTCTGAAGAAAGATTTTTCTCCGCAATTTGTTCCTTTTAATATTTTCAAACCTTCCTTTAGGTTCATTTTACATTATTTTCTGTAAGTTAAAGAGAAATTTTGTTTCATTTGGTCCCAGAAAAATGTGCCTTCAATCTTATTTTCATAAATAAGCTCTTATCTCTCCATTTAAATTACTCTGAGGTACATGAAGAGTTTCAGTCTTGCAAGAGTAGCATAGTTGCTGAAAGTAACCATGTTGTCATAAAATACATTCACCGTGCTTTAGTGAACTTGAAAGTATTATATTGTTAGATGACAAAAATGATGAAAGAACATGTAGAGAGTTCATGCAGAAAATAATCTTTGCTGATAAAATAAACATGAAGCAAATCTAACATGCTAGGTAAATACCTAACCATGGCTGAGTAAGCCTGGCTCTGGGAGTGGGCATAGTGCGGCAAATTAATTTTGCTGATTCAGTGGACAAATGTGAGCCAGGGCCAAATGAGAGTCACTTAGTGTAGATCTATGATTGTTTTCCAGGCAAAAGTTACCGAAGATTTTTAATTTTCTCTTTCTACTTACTCCAGAACAAAGCAAAACAAAACAAACAAAAAAATTTCAAAGACAAATTTTATAAAGCCTCTAATATATAGAAAAAATAGTTTATTTTTACAAAATTAGAGTTGAGTTGAAAATTTTAAATTTAAAGATATAGAAGTCAAATATCTAGGGTCTTAAAGGCATCTTGATCTTTTACATCTATCTAAAGAGAGTTATAGTAACAGTATGGCTTATGGAAAATAAATGTTAGTTTTGACTATCTCATTGGAGATCCCCATGGTTTACAAAGAGGGTAACCTTTAATATTTTATCTCTCTTCTGTATAATTTTTACTTCTCAGGATTTTGGTTTTAAAAAAATTGAATGGTATCCAAATAAATAATTGTGTGATTTCCAATTTACACAATGTAAAATTACACCTACTTTATTATTTTGTCTTAATCTGAGGTAGGTGTTCTATGAGACCATTATTCTCATCACCATTTCAAAAATAGTAAAATTAAGAGCCACCAAAAGAAATATGTCCTATGTCCCTTCACTAATATAGGACAGAGTTGAAGTTCTAACTCTTAGACTTGTCTGAAACCATAGCCCATGCTGTTTCTCTTCTATTCTGCTGCATAAATGAACACTGTATTCCTTGTAACAGAAATGTCTCTGAGTACACCAGGGAGAAGTTTCTCTCTACCTAGAAGCCCTAAAAAGTCCTTGAAAGCCGTTTTTTCCTTTATCTAATTAATCTCAGTAGTCTAGGAAGAGGACTAAATATAAAAAGAAGAATTGGAAATTAAATAAATCTTTCAAAATCTAGGAATGCAGTGTATTGCTTCTCCTCTACCACTGATACTTACTTTAAACAGCGTTGTTATGCCATACTAAGTAGGTATAAAAAATCAGAAGGCTTATTAAAAAGTAAACCAGGGATTTCTGTCATGGATTTTACATGACATAAAGTATCACTGTATTGGAAGGGAGGATAGAAGCTTGATTCATCTGGCTTAGCTTCTCAGTCAATACTTGCCCTTAATAACAACACTGACTTCCAATGAAGTGCATGATATTTAGCTTTTACATTATTTAATTTTTGGAAACAAAATAAATAATATAGTTTGGTTATTATCCATACTTTAAGAGGTATCATTATCCATACTTTTAGATAAGGACCCTCAAACTCTGAAAGGTTAAGCAATTTAACCAACAGCATCAGCTTGGAGTTGATAATGCTAAGATTTATATTCAGGTTTCTCTAATTCTAAGCCTAGGTTCTAAAAAATCATGCTTAGATGCCCAGTTTACCTCTTGGGTGGTGGTTTAAGGTTTTAACTCAAGGAGTTAAGGCTCAGAGGGCACAAACCAGTGGGTGAGACCGCCTCCTCCTTATTCCAGTGAGCTAGGCTCAAGGCCAAGGGTTCAGGGTGCCCTGGGTTGAGGAAATGGGCTTCTACCACGGTCTGCCTGGAAGGCAGGGCTACCACCCTGGTGAATGTGAAGGACAGATAATCCAGCCAAAGGGGGATTGTTCTCGAGCTTTAAAATATAATGGAATTTGACCTGCTAGGTTTTGGACTTGTTGGGAACCTTGACCCCTTTCTTAGTCCTCATTTCTCTCTTTTGGAATGGCAATGATTATGTCTATCCTATGCCTGTCCCACCATTGCATGAAACAGATAACTTGTCTGCTTTTATAGATTCACAGCTGAAGGGGCCTTTTGCCTCAGTATGACTCATACCTCCAGCTCCACCCATATTGCATTAGATGATATTTAGGTGACATTTTGGACTTAGAGTTTGTATGGGAACGGGTTAAGACTTTGGGGACAGTTGGGATGGGGTTAATGTATTTTTTATATGAGAAAGACAGGAATTTGGGAGAACCAGACAGTGGAGTGTTATGGGCTGAATTGTGTTCCCCTGTAAATTTGTATGTTGAAGTCTTATCCTCCCAGTGTTTCATAATGTGGCCGCATTTAAAGATAGAGTCTTTATAAAGACAACTGAATTAAAATGAGGTGATATAGGTGGGCCCTGATCCAATACTACTGGTGTCCTTGTAAGAAAAAGAAATTTGGACACAGATACAGAGAGGACTCATGGAGAATAACACCATCTAGAAGCCAAAATAAGAAGACTGGAACAAATCTTTTCTTTGTGGCTCTCAGAAACAACCAACTCCGCTGACAACTTGATCTTGCACTCCCAGCTTCCAACACTGTGAGACCACAAATTTCTATTGTTTAAGCCACCCAGTCTGTGGTACTTTGTCACGACAGCCCTAACTAACTAACACACCACTCAAAATGATAAATCTTCTCTGCACCTGATTTCACACAAGATGCATGAGGTTAAAAATAGTCTCAAACACGTGATTATCTGTCCATTTCTGAGAACATGCAGTTATGTTAGTGTTCCTTTTCAAAGCCAATAAAATGTCAAAATGACTTTAGTTGTATACTTTTCTTTTTTAGAGTGTCTCTGAAAGTTAAGCAGAAACAATTATAAAGGCATGCATAATATGGGTAATGAAAAAAAAACTATCTGCCTTTGAAGCTGGTGGATCAGAATTATAGATTTTTAGATCTAGAAAACATTTGAGAATTTCATTCCAAGCTGATATTATACAATGTTCTTGGCTCAAACCTTTACTTTAGTAACAAGTAAATGTTAATTTCTGCTATTATAAAAATAAAATACTACTTATAACTTTATTCCATTTTTCATCATTAAAAACCCTCTTCCTAAATTCCATTCAGTAAATGCTTCTTGTTCATCAATAAGATAGAAATAAATCTCTTCAAAATACAATACGCTAAACATGAGTGCATCATGAGGAAGCTTTTTTGGGTGAAAGGGTAGGTAGCCACAAAAGAGTTCATAATTCCAGAACTTTATGAGGGAACCAAACTACTTTTTAAAGGATAACTCACCATATAGAAAAAATTTCTACACTTTCTATTATTTGGTTATTTGAAGCATAATCATTTATGGTAAACTCAATTGGTACAAAGTGTTTTAACTTTAAAAATAATACAACTTTTTTAACTAAGGAACTGAAAAACATCTTTAGGATGGACAAGTTAACAGAATAGTTTCTGTACAGAATAAGCTACACTTGAAAATGAAAAATCCTCCACCTTGGTGCAGTATGTCCTGCAGGCACACTTCTGGAGGGTGGAACGTTACAGGGCTCCTAAGCATACTCACTCTGCACCCAGAACCTTTGGTGATGTGAAAAATCTGCCTACTGTGGATAGCGGCCCTCTTTTTGAATTGCTTAATTCTAGATTCCTGTACATTTTGAAATGTACAAGATCTGTTGCTCCCAAATTGTGCATCTTGTGGTACTTTTTCTCCACACTGTCTACTTTTAAATTTAGAGTAGTTATCATGAGTCGGCTCTCTCTAAAACTCTGCCCTAGCCCTCTCCCTTGGTTTCTATACCCATGTGTTCTGTAACCCACTTGATATTTCTATTTGAGTATGTAATATATAGCTATGTTAATGCAATATGTCAAAAATTGAACTTTACTATTCCCCCATAACTCCTGTTTCCCTATTCAAAAAAAAATATTCTACTCCTACTCCCCTAGTGTTTTATATACCAGGGAATATCATTGTAACTCAGGAAGCTTTTCATACTGTAAACATGTATATCACCTAATTTCCCCTGCTCTCTACTCCCATATCCATCCATCTCCATTTTTATTATATTACCAAAATATTGAAGAGGATTTTTTTCCTTTTTTTTCCTTCTCAAATTCCACCTCCACAGTTTCGGTCATTAGCATCTATTCCCAGAATTATTGTGATATCTTTGAAAGTGTGTTCTAGCTTTTCATTTTGGTTTCCTTCCTTCTATTTTTCATATCGAATTCATGCTGATATTCCCAAATAGAAAATCTGCTTTGTAAAAATGTCTTTGCTTCAAGTCCTTGAACTTGCTATCCTCAACATGAGTTCCAATGCTCTGAATGAACACAACACAGTCATTCATTATTTGCCCCTACCCTTTCTTTCATTTTTTACTACTTCCTGTCAAGTAAAGGTAACTGAAGCTATTAGATTTTTGTACACACTTGTGTATCTTTAAAAGACTTCATGTTTTCTCTCTCCTCAATACTTACTACTTCTCTAGAACATTTTCCTCTCTTCTCCCTCATCAGCAGCAACTTAATCTGAATAACTTTTACATAGCCTTTGGAAATCATATTTGAAGTGTGATTAGAAATAAAATTTTTCCTGATTCTCTAACTCAGAATTTAGTATACCAGCAAGGTGCTCCACTAAGGACCTTGTAGTTACTTCAAATACAACACTTGTGAAATATATTGCTATTTTTGGTTTACTTCTATAAGGTCTTGGCTGGAAAAGAATATTATTTTGCTTAATTCATATATTCAGAAACTGTTGTGCTCCTTGGCACCTAGTAGATACTCAAAAATATTTGTTAAAAGCTTAGAAAATAATTGTCCTTTATCTAGCTTAAATCCCTTCCAGTTCACTTGACCTTAATCTAGTCTTCAGCATTAGATAAAATATTTTCTTGGAGCTTTTGGAATTGTTTGCTAATATATTACAACAAACATGAATGCCTGAAAAGCTGTGACCTAGGAATTCAGATATCCTAGTATTCACAGTGTATATGTATTTATTCATTCAATTGTCAGATATCATTGAACTTTAATATGTACAAAATCTAAGTTGGGAGTAGACATACAGGGTAATACAGATAAAACTGGATCAATTATCAAAGTGTATATAGCAGCTTCAGTCTAGATATTAATGTAGATGACTCAATTAATAAATACTGAAAAATATTTGATATATTTATCTGAATTATATTGTTGATGGTTGCTAAAATTGCTGATTACTTTTTGTTCTAAACATAATACTTTTAATGGTTTCAAGCTAATGTAGTGCCTGTAAATTTGAGAACTGTTATAAAATATTTGTCTACATATGTTCCTCTGTAAATAAATTTCAGAATATATGTTAGCATAAGTAGAAGTAAGGAATCATAATTTTCCCTCAGGTTATTATCATATATATATACATATGCAAGTAAGTGAACATTTATCACATAACATGTGCTTGCCACATAGATAAAATACATGAATTTATGAATTTCACCTGTCATCTTCAGTGCAAATATATTTATGAAAATATACAAACTCAAACAACATGCTTGTATTTGTACTTTATTTTAGTCACAGATTAGCTGTATTATTTTGGATAGTAACCTTAAAAGCTTATTTCAAATACTCAATTCATGCACACATAGAAATTCCTTTCATCCATCACTCAACCAGGATCTGCAGGACAGACCCAGCACTGTCATTACATTCTTCTTGCATGACATATTTGTCCCACTCTTTGCCCCAGCATAGGTAAAACTTTGTAACCAGGGCATTGAAAATTTTTCTCAGTCCAAATCAATATTGAGATGTTATCTCAGAAAATAATTTAAAAACGAATTACTTCCTTAAAAACTATGTTATTTTATAAACTCAATTCCAGATGCCATGCTCATTTCGCAGCGGCTCATCTCAGACTCTGATGCCTGAGCTTCAAGTAATGGTCAATTCCATTTTCTCCTTATTTTTTGCTAGTAACTGGAGGAGCACATTTCACACAACTTATGACAAGCAAGTCATCAAATGGCAACTTTCCTGTTCCAGAGGAACAATACAACTGATCTAAATAGAGAGGCTAGAGCTGTCCTGGACTACAGCGCTGGGGTTCACCTCACTATCACAACATACAGAACAGGATGCCAGGCCTCAAATACCTATGCAATAATTTAAGCAGGAGAGGGCTTTAATGAGACCCAATAATTCATCACAACCTTCAGATGTACAAACCAGCATCCAGACATATAGACTATGGCCGTCCTATGTTCACAATTGTCATTGTAATTAGAAGTAGTACAATTTGGCCAGGCGCGGTGGCTCACGCCTGTAATCTCAGCACTTTGGGAGTCCGAGGCAGGCGAATCAAGAGGTCAGGAGATCGAGACCATCCTGGTTAACATGGTGAAACCCTGTCTCTACTAAAAATACAAAAAAAAAAAAAAATTAGCCGGGTGTGGTGGCAGGCGCCTGTAGTCCCACCTACTCGGGAGGCTGAGGCAGGAGAATGGCGTGAACCCCGGAGGCAGAGCTTGCAGTGAGCTGAGATGGCGCCACTGCACTCCAGCCAGGGCGACAGAGCGAGACTCCTTCCCCCCCCCAAAAAAAAGAAGTAGTACAATTTGTTTTGTGAAAGTGAAAAATGGTTCCAATTTTCACCACTGTTTTGCCAAACCTTTAATGTATAAATCATCTGAAGCGTCAAACATATACATATTGGAAAATCTCTTTAAAAACCAGAAGACTTTTTATATTTAAAAAGAAGATCAAGATATATACCAAGTTGCAAGGATTAGATACAATATATAAAAAGTGTTCAGCACTGTCCAGATTAATGGTAGATTGGTTTCCTATGTTGCATTGAATGTGTAAAAACAAAACAGAACAAAACAAGAAAGTGTTTTTCTGATACACTTTTATTGATTTTTCTCTTAGTGTGCTATTTGTATTGCCTATTCCTTTCCTTTTCTGTGTATATTTTTTAGTTATCTTCTTTGTGGCCACCATGGAGTTTATGGTCATAATAAATTTAGAACAACCATGCATAAATTGATACCGATTTAGCCTCAATAGCATACATTAATTCTGCTCATTATAAAAGCATCTTCCTCCCTCTTTATGGTTGTTATTTTTCAAACAAAATATTTATATATTGTATGCCTGTCAACATAGATTATAATTATTTATGAATCAGTTGTTAAAAATATGTAGGAAACAAAATGAAGAATAATAGACAAAAAGAAGAAGAATAATAGTTTTTATATTTATCTAGGTTGTTACACTTACCAGTGATCTTTATCTCTTTGTATGGCTTTGAGTCAATGTTTGGTGTCATATTTTTTCAGACTGACAGATTCCCTTTAGCTGTTATTATAGGGCGGGTCAATTAGTTAGGCACATCTTTAACTTTTGTTTATCTGGGTATGTCTCAGTATCTTCTTCATTCTTGAAATAGAGTTTTTCCAAACATAGAATTTTTGGATAAATTTCATTTACCTTTCAGCACTTTAGAAGCATCATCTCACTGCTTTCTTGTCCACGTGGTTTGTAATGTTTCTTAGTGTAGATATTGTTTTTAGTTTATCCTATGTGAGATTTATTGAGCTTCTTGAATGTCTAGAGTCATATTTTTTATCAAAGTTTTATCAAGATATTTTTGGAATTATTTATTCAATTATTTTTTTCTGTCCCTTTCTTTTTTGCTCTTCTTCTGGAACTCCATTAATATTAGTACTAATTTAGTATGCTGGATGATGCATCATAGGTCCCTTAGGCTCTCTTCATGTCGTGTATCTTTATTGTTTTTCATCCTGCTTCTCAGACTGATAATATAAATTGCACTAATTTCAAGTTTGCTGATTCTTTCTTTGCCTGCTCAAATCTGTCATTGAAACTCTCTAATGGTTTTCCTTTTTGATTTCAGCTAACTTACTTTCAACTCCTAAATTTCTCTTTTGTTCACTTTATAATTTCTGTCTCTTTTTTTTTGGTATTCTATGTTCATACGTTTTTCTGCTGATATTCTTTAATTCTTTGTGCATTACTTCTTTCACCTGTTTGAACATTTTTAAGACAGCTTTCAAGTTTTAAGAAAACTTACAGTTTTCATCTAGTAGGTTCAAGGTATGGGCTTCTTAAAGGATGGTTTCTATCAAATTCTTGTTTTCCTTAAAATGAGCCATTATATACTCTTTTTTTGTATTATTTATAAATTTTTGTAAAGAACTGAAAATTTTGGGTATTGTAATTGTTAACTCTGGAAATCATATATTCTCCTTTCCTCAAGGACTGTTATTGTTTCCTGATTAATATTACAGTTGTCTGTTGAATGTCTTTACAAAATGATTTTTGCAAAGACTATATTTCTTGCTATGTGTGGTTACCGAAGTCTCTGTTCCATTTCTCCATGGTCAGGCCAGTGACTTGGCTGAGATTTACTTAAATTCATAAACTCAATTAAAAAAAAAAAGAAAAAGAAAGAAAAACAAATAAGAGCATTCTGTCTTTTAAATTCCTTTAATCAATCCTGCAAGGAAAGTCACTTTCTGATAGTTGAATCAATGATCAGCTTCTATGTCATCCCCTCAGCAAAGCACCATATCCATCAAAACTCAAAACCCCAGTTTATGGAGGGCAAGCTCCCCATTGTTCACTCTGGTACAAGCGAGCCTCACCAAGAATGTAGGGTACCATTCCTTTATATTTCTACTGTAGAGTTGGGAGCTAGGAAACTGTACCTACTACACAAAATGCTAAAATTCACAATTTTTTTTCTTCTTTTCTTCATCAAGCAGACATTTTGATGTTACAAGTGTTCAACAAGACTTCAGAGGCCTCAAAATAGTTGATTCAGACAATTGTTGTGCTAAATAGTTGCTTTAGGAGAGGGATGGATTCCTAGAACTTCCTACTCTATCTTCTGCAAAGTCAAAGATGCGAATTTTTATGCCTCTTATTTTCTTTTATTCTTCGCATTATTTATTTATTTGTTTTGATAAGCTTTCTTTTTAGGGTAGTATTAGCTTCATAACATACAGAGAATTTCCATACCTCCTTCCCCCATAAATGCATACCTTCACCACTACTGACGTTCTACACTGCAGTAGTACACTGGTTACAACTGGAGAAACTACACTAACACATCATCACCCCAAATCCATTGTATTAGGGTTCATTCTTGGTATTCTACATTCTATGAGTTTTGACAACTGTACAATTATGTGACTCACACATAATAGTTTTCACTGTCCTAAAAATCCTCAGCGTTCTGCCTATTATCCTTCCCTCTTTCCAAATGCCTGGCAAACACTAATCTTTTTACTGTGCTCATAGTAAGCCATGCCCATGGCTTAATAGCATATTTTTTTTAGTGTTGAATAATATTCCACTGTCTGGATGCACCAGTTTCTTTATTCATTCACTTAATGAAGAACATAGTGATTACTTTCATGTTTTGAAAGTTATGAACAAAGCTGCCATGAACATCTGTGAGCAGTTTTTGTGTGGATATTACTTTTTAATTCATTTGGGTAAATACCAATGAGCAGAATTGCTATATGTAGGGTAAAAGTCTATTTAATTTCATGAGAAACTGACAAACTGCCTTCCAAAAGGCCACACCATATGCCTTCACACCAGCAATGAATGAGAGGCCCTATTGCTCCACATGCACATCAATATTTGGTGTTGTCAAGGTTTTGGGTTTTGGCCATTCTCATGAGTGTATAGTGGTGTCTCGTTGTTTTAATTTGTATTTACCTGCAGCATATGATGTTAAACATCTTTTGTATGTTTATTCACCCTCTGTCTACCTTCTTTGATGAAGTTTTGCTCATTGGATTGTTGGCTTTCTAGTTAACAAATTTTAATATTTCTTTGTATGTTTTGGATGGCAGTCCTGTATCAGATGTGTCTTTTGCAAAATTGTTCTCCTAGTCTGTGGCTTATTCTCTTGACAGTGCCTCTCAAAGGGGAGAAGCTTTTTTTTAATGTAGTTTTGCTTATTATATCTAAAAATTGATTGCCATATCAAAAATTAGGTAGATATTTTCTTATGTTATCTTCTAGGAGTCTTATCATTTTGCATTTTTCTTGTTTTTTTTTGAGATGAAGTCTCACTCTGTCCCCCAGGCTGGAGTGCAGTGGCGCGAACTCGGCTCACTGCAAACTCTGACACCCGGGTTCATGCCATTCTCTTGCCTTAGCCTCCGGAGTAGCTGGGACTACAGGGGCCCACCACCACGCCCAGATAATTTTTTGTATTTTTATTAGAGACGGGTTTTCACCATGTTAGCTAGGATGGTCTCGATCTCCTGACCTCGTGATCCGCCCACCTCGGCCTGCCAAAGTGTTGGGATTACAGGCGTGAGCCACAACGCCTGGCCCCATTTTGCATTTTTCAATATGGCCTATGTTCTATTTTGAGTTAATTTGTGTGACCTTATTCATTTTTTATGTGGATTCGCAGGTTTTCCAGTATTATTTGTTGAAAAGACAATTTTTTCTCCATTATATTATTTTTGCTCCTTTGCCAAACATAATTTAATTGTATTTATGTAGATCTGTCTTGGGATCTCTATTCTGTTCCATTAATCTATTTGTCTGTTAATTCACCAATACCACACTCTCTTCATTCCTGAAGCTTTATAGTCAGCTCTTGAAGTCTGGTGTTGTCTGGCCTCCAGCTCTGTTGTTCTCAACACACAACAATGTTGTGTTGGTTATGCTGGATATTTTGCCTCTTTATATAAATTTTAGGATCTTTTTTTGATATTCATAAAATTACTCAATGAAAGTTTTATTGGAATAAATTGAATCACTAGATTCATTTGGGGAAAACTATTTCTTGACAATATTGAGTCTTCATATCCATGAACACAACTACCTCTTCAGGCTTTTAGTTTTTCTTTTATTACTTTTTCAACTTTTATTACTTTTTAAACACATTTTGTGCATTTTAGAAATTGGTCTGTGAGTTCATGTTTTTAATACCTGAATCTCCTTCCTGTGGATCATGAGCCGCCTTTGCCAAGTCTCCTATAAATAGTAGCTAAAAATTGCATTGATTTTTTTTAAGTATATGTTATGTTTGAATTTATCTCACTTTTATTTATAATTACTTGTATTTTAGGAATTACGAAACTATTTTTGTACTGTCTTATACTTTTTCATCCTAGTTGTTCCTTTCTTATATTTAATGACAGATACATATTTATATTTCCTAACTTCAAATGACACTGCTTAGGTGATTAAAATAAACATATATTTATAACATAATGTGGGAGAATTACAAAAACCAACAAAGGAGAATTAAAAAACAAATTCCCATATATAGATATACTATATATGGTATTTTAATATTTATAATATCATACATTTTTATAAAAATAAAATTTGTATAGATATGCATAGATTTTATTTTTATGTTAATTTACTGAAGTTTTTTTCTATGCACACAATTCTTTCTCCTGTATGTTCTCTACGTAAATAAACCCTTATGTATTTGTTCCCATAACAATATATATCATTTTTTTCCTGAATTTCGTCTCATTATTTCATGAGCATTTCCACATTATTTGAAAATTCTTTCAGAATATATAATCCCCTTAAATAATCTCATAGATAATTACGGCTTTGACAGTAATATATGTGTAGATACTTAACAAATGCTCACCTTTCTTGAAACTCTAAACCTATGTATCACACTCCCTACTCAAACTATACTTGGATTCTCAAAAGTTTTCTAAAACCCTTAAGTAAAAATTCTAACTTATTAAGCTATGATCGTGCCACTCTACTCTAGTCTGAGTGACAGAATGAGACCCTGTTTCAAATTTTAAAAAAATCTAACTTATACTGTGTTATTCCAAATGTATTCATATTGAAGTTTCCCATGTATCTTTGTTTGATGTAACCATCATTCATTATCTGAGCCATAGACTTTGAAATAATCTTTATAAACTCAAACTTATAACATTATAATCTATTGAGAATATATTTCATTCTTTGAAAACATATTTTAAATCAAAAACATGCTGTTAAATAAATTCTAATAGGCTTTCATGAATAACCAATATGAAGTGTAGATATTTCTACACAAATAGTATTTATAATTATGAAAAATAGAAACTGTATAAATATCCAATCATAGGAAACATGGCTAAGCAAATTAGAGTGAAATTATAATTTAAGTGATTTATTGCAACATTTCCATGGGCAGAGGATAATGATAAACTGAATTAAAGTGGTATAAATTAAAATAGGAAATAGAGGTATAAGAGAGTCTTAAAGTGGCAAATTCTAGGTCTCAGAAATAAGTTGAATGCATAAATACTTGAATGGGGTGAAAGTGGTATTTGAAAGAGAATCAAGATGATCCCTAGACTTACAAATTGGGTAACAGTAATGAGGTATCTCACACATATACATACACAGGGAGAGAAAGGGGAGGCAGGGAGATTTAGTCATGCTTAAGGGAAAGCTGATGAAGTAAGAACTGAAAATTTTGCATATGACAAGATTTATGAGACATCTAGGAAGAAAGATAGAGATAATCATTGCAACTACAGTTTGTCATCAAGTGAGACATTGTGGTATCTAGGAAACTATCTTTAGGTACTCCTAAGCATAATGACTTATAAAAAGCTCAATTAATACCTCAAATACAGAAATTGGAAAGATATGTATGGAGATTATGAAGACAGTGGCAATATTAATAAGAAAATAACATTATGCCTAAAAACTTTCGTTTCCTTGATTTCTTTTCCAGACTTTTCTTGGTATTCAGAGCTTGGAACATATACATACATTTCAGCATGTAGGGAAAAAATGACTTCATAGACATGCTTTTACTAATTAATATTAGAAACAGAAGCGACCTGGCACAGTAGTTTTTAAAACTGTGTTCTCTAGAATCTCAAGGGCCACCAAAGGAACAAGAAAGAGCCAGGATATAAGATTTGAGTAAATTTTCTTCACACCACCAGAGCAATTTGTCCTTATTTCTTTTGCCTGTTGACATCTTGCATATCTTTTATTCTACACAGATAAAGAATTAAACTACTAAAATAGATTTGAAAGTTTTCCATTTACTCAATTTCACTTTTTTCAGACAAGAAAATGGCGTATGAATAGAAAGTGAATTGTTCATCATCATACTTAAAGTAAGTCACTAATAGACAAATAACTAATGTTTTCTAATTTTCAAACTAGGGTTCTTTACATATGACCTAAAATAGTTTTTTCTTAAATGTGTAAATTTACTGTTATTACATTAAATTGTTATTATCATTTTCATCATGTTTTTCCAAACAAAATGAGTCATCCAGTAAAGATAGTGTAAACAAAATGCCACAAATTATAAGTAAAATGTATCTTGGAGAATTATTAAAACATTGATTGGGTTTCGTGTTGTCAAATACTTTCCATAATAAACCAGTGAACTGCTGATTTAGTCATGTCATAAGTATTAGCTTACACTCTTCTAGCCAAGGAACTAATTACTATAATTTTATTTAATTTCCTCAATTTATTCCAAAACTTGCAGTTCTCTATTAGACCTAGCTTGCATACTGTCTTCATCACAATGTCTGTCACTCTTTTTCATTTAAAGCTGGTATTTTTTGAGTTGGCATTTAAAACTAGCTCTCAACAATGGAAATAGGGAGAAAATAATATCCAAGCCAACTTGCAAATACAGTATGACTGGGAATATGAAAACTATGAAATTCCCTACATGGTGGGATGATCACATTAGAAGTCTCAGTGCCAGGACGGTCAGGTTATAATCCTGGTATTTATAATCACCAGCTGAGCAAACATAAAGAAAACAATTAACCTCACTGGTTGCCAGAACCCCATTCTCAGTGTAACAGGATGATCACTCTCTAAAATTATATTTTGCTCAAAATGAACCAGTCTGTGCCTAGACACTTTCATTCTAGATTTCTCTTTAGTACTTAGTTTGCATGACTGTTAAGGACCTCTAGCATTCCAGGCCATTTTAGCTCATCAAGTATTTATGAATTTCCTAAGACTAACACAACTCTTCCAGTATATAATATCCCCACATTTTTCGTTCTGTAAGCATGGATTATTTGGCAAAACAAAATAAAACAACAAAAGCAGACTGTCTGTCTATGGTTCAATGCCATGTACTGTTTGGCATGGCACAGGTTTCTGTGGATCAAACTCCTTTCATGAGACTTTATTTAATCTCATTTATTTAAATATCAACTTGAATTTTATTATTTATTCCACACCATGGAAATACATTGTTTGAGTTAAAATGTTAGATTTTTTTAATACAAAACTTTTAAATTTATTTTACCACAGAACAAAATTAGATTAGATAGCCTAATAAAAAATTATTATAGAAATAATATTGCTCACTGTATACTCTTTCTATAAAATATTCATAGTTATGTGTTTGGTTGTGTCATACACAAGGTTAGAGGTCATAGATTTAAATAGATAACACAGTCATGTGGTGCCTAATATTTTAGTCAATGACAGACAAATTATGCAATGGTGGTCCCATAAGACTAAAACAGAGCTAAAAAATTTCTGTTACCTAGTGACATCATAGATTTCCCAGTGGGACAAGATGTGGAGGTAGAAAAGAATAGGATTGATAATGTTGATCTCATGTAGGCCTAAGATAATGTGCATATTTAGGTCTTAGTTTTCAACAAAAAATTTTGAATCGTAGAGAAAAATTAAAAATAGAAAAAAGTTTAAATAATAAGGGTATAATGAAAGAAAATAATTTTTACAGCTGTACCACGTGTTTTTTGTTTTAAGCTAAGTGTTATGAGTCGTAAAGTTTTTTAAAAGTTCATAAAATAAAAATGTTACAGTAAGCTAAGGTTAATTTATTATTAAAGAAAGAAAAATATTATTAATTTAATATAGCTTAAGATGCCAGTGTTTATAAAGTCCTTAGTTGTGTACATCATACCCTAGGCCTTCACATTCACTCACCACTCACTCATTTATTCACTCAGAGCAATTTCCAGTACTACAAGCTCCATTCATGGTAAATGCCCTATAAAGGTGTACCATTTTTTCATTCATACCATATTTTTACTGTGCTTTTTCCATGTTTAGATATGTTTAAATGCACAAATGCTAACCACATGTTACAGTTGCCTACAGTATTTAGTACAGTGACATACTGTACAGGTTTTCAGCCTAGGAACAACACACCACACCACATAGCCTAGGTGCATAGTAGGCTATACCATCTAGGATGTTTATGTAAGCACATTCTGTGATGTTCAGACAACAAAGAAATCTTTTATTGATGCATTTCTCAGAATGTATACTCTTCATTAAGTGATAAATGACTGCATTTTAGAACCTGTGAACCTCGGGGTGCATATCTGCCTTAATATCTGGGAAATTAAAGTTTACTGCTTAATTTAGTCAATCTCAAAAAAACATTAAAGCAGCAATTATTTTACACAAGTTGTCATTTTCTGTTCTAACACTCTAACATGATATATTTTGACCAACCTATCTTCTAGAAAGAATGTGAGTATAAAACCTGGTTATTCAATGAAAGTGCCGATAATTTTCACAAATCATTCTGTTGAGACATTACATTGCTCAATTATGAACTTACTATGGGCACTTACTACATGAACATTCTTTCTAATTCAATGCATTATGCAATTTATACAATATAAGAAGAGTAAGATTAACAGCACAAGAAAGAAAATAGTCATTCAATAAAATAAAATAATTTGGAATCAGAACTGAGACTATTCAAGGAACTCCTACTGACCAAATATTGATGATAGTAAGCACTACTTTTAAAATTATGGTTTGTCCTAGGGTCATTTGGACAAAATTAAAATATTAAGAACACTTTGCAACATTTTAATCACATAATCCTGTCAATAAATAAGCACCCACACACTTCTATTTACCAACTCATACTGGCCCCATTAGAAACACTTTTCAGTAGAAGATTTAGGACCAGGTTAAAATTATAAATTAAAATAGCACAGGGAATGGAAATAGATTGTGCAGCCAAACATAAAGATAAATTTTCTCATTATTTGCTTCCCAATGTACATGTGCATGCATTCCTTTAAGAGTCTGAATAGCTTGTAATTTAACATCTATGAACATTTATAAATGCTGTTAGACTATAATGACACCTTTCACTCTGAATTATAGCCAATTTATGTATCTGAAATTAAAGAAGCTCAGCTTAAAAAAGAAATAATCTCTTGAGTGTTGCAGAGTATATAATAGCTTTTCCAAACATAAAATGAAACAAAGCAAACACACTTACTACAGGAAAATATAATCAAAACTGTTACATGACATCCAGAATTTTGATTCTATGGCTATTGATCATTGAAAAGCCTGGAATATAACCTTTTTTGGCAACAAAATTTAACTAATTTGTTTTCCAGAAATATCACAAGTTTGAAACCCCACGGTTTAATAATTTAATAGTATTTTGTTTGTTTGTTTGTCTGTTTTTGTTTTGTCTCAGCAAAGATAGCCTTCAGGCCACCAGATGGTATTCAATTAAAATAAATTGTTTCTTAGCTTTTATTTTAATTAACTTCAATTAATATTATTGAGCACATTTTTTGAATACTCACCAAATCCAGGAGTTTCAAAGAAGAGTTTTGTATGATCTTTTCCCTTTGTGATATAAAGCAGAACATTTCCATACAATATGGTAAATGCCATGATGAATGTATGCACAAGGAGAAAACACCAAGGAGGGATTGCTTCACCGAATTAGGAGGTTTAGGAAACAATTTTTGGAAAGGATATTTAGTTGAATCTTGAGAAATGACTAGGCTTCCCATGTTAAAAAAGAGATCGGGTCCAGCCCGGTGGCTCACACCTGTAATCGCAGCACTTTGAGAGGCCGAGGCGGGGATATTACTTGAGGTCAGGAGTTCGAGATGAGCCTGACCAACATGGAGAAATCCCGTTTGTACTAATAATACAAAAATTAGCCGGGCGTGACGGCATATGCCTGTAATCCCAGCTACTCGGGAGGCTGAGGCAGGAGAATCGCTTGAACCTGGGAGACGGAGGTTGCGGTGATCCAAGATCCCGCCATTGCACTCCAGCGTGGGCAATAAGAAGGAAACTCTGTCTCAAAAAAAAAAAAAAAAAAATAGAGAGATAAGAGAGATAGAGATCGGAAAAGTAGAGCATTTCAGAAAAGGAGAACTGAACAGTTAGAGACTCTCATACATTGAGTAGGACTGCAAAATGTTTTGGTTTACTGGAGAATAAAGTTGAAAATGCAGATTGTTGAGAGACAAAACCGGATAGAAAGGTAGAAGCCAGACTGTGAAAGCCTTGCACGCCATGTTTAAGCTTGGGCTTTATCTTGAAGTGAATGGAAGATATAAAAGAAATTAAACCCTGGCGATACTAGGAAGATTGTCCTTGAAGCAAGGCAGTTCTATGATAAAGAAGTGGTTTGGGGACAAAAATCAACAGTAAAGAAAATTAGTTTCTGTCAAGCATGTGGTTAAAAAATCTATTAATTCTATAAATCTACTGATGCTAAAATTAAAAAGTCTGAAAACTAATTGTAGTGGCCATACGATCTAATTCTACTTGTTATATAATGATAAAGTTTGCCTCTGTGGTTCACATTCATATAGAATGGCATTTTGACTTCACCGAACCCACTTGAATAGTTCACCAATGACGGCCAAGATTTAGCATGAATAGACCTTGTATAAAGAGGTTCATCATTATACTCTGCAGGCTAAAATGAGAGGCCCTTATTCTAAAATTTATGGCTGGCTCATATATTTTATGGAGTTAGTCTTGCTCAGCCTCATGAAATCTGGGCTGTGTTTGAACACTACAGATTCTTAGCAGTGAAACTGTTTTCTGAAAAGTTCAAATTATTGCTAGGCTAGCTGTGTCATCTTGCATAAAGAGAAATCATCAGGAACAGTTCTCTAAATAGCAAAGTGTCTCAGGTGTTTGAGTGTTTTCTTGTTCTCACTGAATCTGGAGGCTTAAAATGATTACAATAATTTAGTCTTTCATTTATTTAATCATCCATCCATTAATTAATTTATTCATTTCACAAATGTAGAACCTTTCTCTGTTAGACATTTTTCTAGGCACCTAGAATGTAGAGTTGAAAATTCAAAACTATCTTTAAAGTTTCAGCAACTCATTAATAAAATTCTGAACTTTCTTTGCCATTGTTGATGCTCAAAGCAGAAAAAAAAACTGAAAAATTTCCCAAATATACACAACACGTGGCTATAAGAAAAATCATTAAATTTATAATCTCTCCTTAATAATTTTTAGTGATCCTCCTTTTTATTGTCTTTTCTTGACTCTATATTCCAATCTTGCTAGCCCTGCAAAAATGAGCCACTGTTACGGTGTCCAGGTTTTAGCCACTAGTTTAATACTTCTATTCTGGTACACTGAGATCTCATTTTTGATTCACACTGTGAGTGAAGAAGGTTGAAAAACATCTACATAAGCAGAAGATAGAAAAATGCCTGCTATATGCTCAGTATATTACAAAATATATTCACCTATGATATTAAGCTTTATATCCATAATCTAATGGGTGTGGATTATCATCCAAGCTGATAGATGAAAACAATGAATTTATCTAAGATTAAACCTAAGATTTGTCTAAGATCACCCATATTGAAAATGTCAGACCTTGTATTAAACATGGGTCTTTGTGTTATGGAAGTTTGCTGCTGATGTCAATGACTTCAGTTATTCATTCAAGTTTTTTACAGTTTTTAATTTTGATTTGTACACAAATTCCTGAATCCCGATTTGTCATTCCGTTAATGTTCACCCCATAGGCACTGAAAATGGACACTGACCTGAAGTTTTTCTAATTATGTTCAGCAGTTATCTGGAGCCATACAAGTATAAAAGATTGGGGCTTGATAGAACCTGTTGTCAAAATAGTGATATTATGGTTGGAAAATGTAAATTTTTAGGAAGCATGTGGAAGAATTGCAATGCAAACTTACTTTTTTATTAAATACACATGCATATAAAGGATAACTGCATGAAATACTATACAACTAAGAATACAAACAGAATTTGTATTCTGTGGAAGGTATCAGACAGGTACATTTATAATTATATATTTGATAAACATTATCCTCAATCTTCATTTCAGTGCTCTTTCCAGGCTGCCACTGCAATATTCATTTTATCGTCCAATTTTTCTTTGTTTATTTATTCATTTGAGACAGGGCCTTGCTCTGTTGCCTAGGCTGGAGTGCAGTGGTGTGATCTTTGCTCACTGCAGCCTCGACCTCCTGGGCTCAAGAAATCCTGCCATTTCAGCCTCCCCAGTAGCTGGGACTACAGGCGTATGCCACTATGCCTGTCTAATTTTCTCTTTGTTTTTTTTTTGTTGTTGTTTGTTTTTTTTTTGGTAGAGACGGGGTTTTGCCATATGGCCCAGACTGGTCTCTAACTCCTGAACCCATGAAATCTGCCTGCCTCGGCCTCCCAAAGTGCTGGGATTACAGGTGTGAGCCACCACGCCTGGCTCTTTCAATGTACAGAGAATAAGAAAGAAGTTGGCTGGGCACAGTGGCTCACACCTGTAATCCCAGCACTTTGGGAGGATGAGACAGGCAGATCATGAGGTCAGGAGTTCGAGACCAGCCTGGCCAACACAGTGAAACCCCGTATCTACTAAAAATACAAAAATTAGCTGGGCCTGGTGGCAGGCACCTATAATCCCAGCTACTTGGGAGGATGAGGCAGGAGAATTGCTTGAACCCAGGAGGCAGAGGTTGCAGTGAGCCAAGATCACACCACTGCACTCTACAGCCTGGGTGACAGAGTAGACTCCACATCAAAAAAAAAAAAAAAAAAAAAAAGGTTAAGATGTCTAGTCTGAGTTGAGATGTTTCCATGCATTCCAGGAAAATACTTCTTAAAAAGAGTAAAGCTCCAAATTCTGGAAAAATGGCAAAGTAGAAAGCACCAGTAATCTGTTGCTCCATCTAGAACACAATTATATGGCTGAATTTGTCTGATGTAACTAATTTTGGAACTCTAGAGTCTGTTGAAGGTTGCAAATTCCTGGGGAAGACGTATCCAATCAATTGTGGTTAATTTTGGTCAATTTCAGATCTTGCACAGTAGCAGTTACTCATTCCTCATACCCAGGCCCTGGGCAGTCAGTCATGCACTCGTTCTAGGATCAGCTTGTATGCAACCACAGGATCCACAGTAAGCAAAAACAACCCTGTCCTCCAAATACAGGGGATCTGTGCTCTAACCTCTAATTGCCACTTCTAGTCACAGAGATGCAGACAAAAAGCTGGACATTGTTGAAACTCCTTTTTTCTTGGAGGCCTTTCCCTTGACTGAAGTGGCGGCTTCCTTTGGATTTAAAAGGACAACATGTATTTCCCTTCTTTTTTTACCCTTCCTGGAGCCAGACATTAAAGACAAGAATATTCAAAAACAACAGCATATATGGGAGAAATTAGAAAGTGATCACTTATACCCAGGGTCAGAAAAAGTGCTGGCTCAGAAAAGAAGATCTGAGAAGATGTGAAAAGACCTTAAGTTTACACTTCAGCTTGATTCTTAGCACAGAGATAACCTACAACAATTAAAAAAGCAATAAACAATTAAAAAAAAAAAAACAGAAAACCTGGGGAAAGTGGAAAAATCTGATTTCAAGATTTGCCACCCATTAGACTCAAATGCACAGTTTTTTAAAAGAAAAACAAAAGGCGTGAAAGAAACAGGAAAGTAGGGCTCATAAAAGGAAAAAATCAATAAAAACTATTTCTGGAAAAAGATCTGATGACAGGCCTACTAGAGAAAGACTTTCAACAACTTTCTAAAAGATGCTGAAATAACTAAAGAAAGATGTGGAGACAGTCAAGAAAATGATATACGAATAAAATGGAAATTCTAATAAAAAGATAGAAAACCTAAAAAAATGAAAACAGAAACTCTGGAGCTAAAAATCACAATAAATGAAATAAAATGAAAAAATGTACTAGGCATATTTGAGCAGGCAGAAGAGAGAATCGATTAACCTGAAGGTTGATAATATATTATTTAATATAATATTGAAATCCAAGGAACAGAAGGGGAAAAAATGAAGGAAAGTGAGCAGAGCCTAAGAAACCTATGGAATACGATCGTGAGAACCAACATACTCATTGTCTCATTGTAGGAATTTCAGAAGAGAGAAAAAAAGAGAAAAATTAATAGCTGAAAATCTTCCAAATTTCACTATAAATATCCAAAGAGCTCAATGAACTTCCAATAAGGTGAATTTTCAAAGACACAAACTGAGATACAGTGTAATCAAGCTTTCGAAAGACAAAGAGAATCTTGAAAGCAGCAATAGAAAAGTGATTCATCACATACAAAAGATCATTAGTAACATTATTATTGATTAGTCGATCTCCTAATAGAAAATTTGGAGGTTAGGAGGCAGTGGGCCAATGTGATCAAAGTGCTAAAAGAAAAAATTCACCCAAGATTCTTATATGTAAAAAAACTGTCCTTCAAAAGTAAGAGAAAACTTAAGACCATTTTAAAAGGTGAGTAAGTTTGTTATCCCAAGAAAGGTTCAAAGATGTTCTCTGCAAGGTAAAATGAGAAGACATTAGACATAGTGTTATAATAACCCTCGGCCACGTGAAAAAATAAAGATCTTAATAATGATAAATACATGGGCAATTATAAAAGGTAGCATTATTACAACAATACTTTGTAACTCTATTTTTTGTTTTCTACATGATTTAAAGGACTAATTCATTAAAAAATCTAAAAGCGAGTATTATTATAACTTTAATTTGTAACTCTATTTTGTTTGTTACATAATTGAAGAGGCTAATGAATTTAAAATCGTTATTGGGGTTATTTTGGCACATAATTTACAAAGATATAAATTTGTGATATTAGCAACCAAAAAGAGTAGAAATAGAGCTGTAAAGGAGAATTTTGTATTTTATTAGAGTTAAGCTTTTATAAACTTAAAGTGTTATAACTTTAGGGTATCAAATGTAAGCTCCATGATAAACACAAGAAAATAATTGTAAAATAAGTACAAATGAAATTAAGAAATGAATTTATACATTTCACTACAAAAAAAAATCAACTAAACACACACATACACACAAAAACAATGCAGAAAATGAGGGACAAAAAGAGCTATGAAGGCCGGGCGTGGTGGCTCATGCCTGTAATCTCAGCACTTTGGGAGGCCGCTCACACCTGTAATCTCAGCACTTTGGGAGGCCAAGGTGGGCCGATCACGTGAGGTCAGGAGTTTGAGACCAGCCTGGCCAACATGGTGAAACCCCATCTCTACTAAAAATGCAAAAATTAGCTGAGTGTGGTGGCAGGTGCCTGTACTCCCAGCTACTTGGGAGGCTGAGGCAGGCAGAGGTTGCAGTGAGCTGAGATCGGACAACTGCTCTTCAGACTGGGCAACAGAGGGAAACTCCGTCTCAGAAAAAAAAAAAAAAAGTATGAGTCATATAGGAAACTAGTAGCAAAATTAAAAATGTAAGTAAGTCCCTCCTTGTCAATAATTACTTCAAATGCAAATGAATTAAACTCTCTAGTTAAAAAACAGAAATTCGTAGAAAGGGTTAACAAAACAAAAACAAAAACATGATCCAACTATATGGTATGTATAGCAGGTTTTACTTTAGTTATGTAGTTAGATAGTTAAGGTGTTACTATTTTTTCAATTCTTTTTATTTGCTTTTCCTTCTTTTCTTTTCTTTCTACCTCTTTCTACCTTTGTTTTCTTTTGGATGTCTGTTGTTAGTGTTTTGGAATTACTGACTTCTTCAGCTTCAAGTTTAGGTATATAAATTAGAAAGAAAACCTGGAGAACTCACCATTTTATTCCTTGGGTAACCCTGCAATCCCTAGCTAATTTACTTTCTTCTCTCCACATTTCAAAAATCCTGTGTTTGCTTTATGTATGATGCTCAGGTCTTTAGTTGTAAAATTTGTTTGGAAAATATTTTGGATAGATTTACTTTTGCCATTATTTGACTTATAATTAAATTTGTAGATATGTTATTAGAAATTACCACTGGACTGGTTTTCATATTTTTAAATATTATACAGTGGACATACTCAGATAAATTTCAATTCCAAGATCATATACAATCAACATTTTGTGGGGGAACGTCATCAGAATGGGCCTGCAGATTAGTACATGCATTCAATAGTTCATTCAACACAAAAGTGCTGAGCACCCCTTCTGTTCTGGAAGAGGAAAGGATGAAGGTTCAGAGATAAAAGAAAACACTGGAAGTGTAGGCGTGTAGACATGGATATTTTCAATGCAATGCATTCATTGGTATCATAGGGGTAAATACAAGGTATTCTTAGAGTTTGTAGGTTCTGTACATAACTATGATGTAGAAGTGACAGTTATTGAGAAAGAAAAGAGTATGTTTCTTCCAAACAAGGCATCTAAACTCAACTTGAAACGTGAATTATTGAAGCATAAAGGAGAATTCAAGTGAGGAGACCACAGAAACAAAGAAGTAACATGAGCATAGGTATGAAATATCAATTAATCTAGAAATTGAAGCTGTTTGGCAGGAATGAAACTTAGGTTGGAAGTGGTAAGTAAAAAATGAATGCTATTATATACAATGTTAACAAATTAAGATCAATAATTAAAAGCAATAGGTAGACTTTTGAAATTATTCTGTTCAAAACCATTTCTACCCATATTTTCATAGAATAGTTCATACTATGAAACGATTCATAAAATGGTTCATACATATTATAGCTCATAATTACTAGGAGATTACTAAGTCAATTTAATGAGCCTAAATCAGTATCAGTATGTACGGGAATACTGGAAATCCACATGCAAAAAAAAAAAAAGAAGAAGAAAGAAGAAAGAAGGGGAAGGAGGAGAAGGAGAAGGAGGAGGGGGAGGAGGAGGAGGAGGAGGAGGAGGAGAAGAAGAAGAAACCTTACACACATACAAAAATTAACTCAAAATCAAATACCTACATGCAAATGCTAAAATTATAAAACTCTTAGAAGAAAATATGGGGTAAAATATTCCTGGCATTGGAGTTAGCAATGATTCCTTAGATATGACAACAAATGCAGAGGCAACAGAACTTATTATCTCTGGCTCTAAGAAGATGAAAGAAGAAAAAAAGAAAAAAATAGATTAGGTAGACTATGTCAAAATATAAAACTTCTGTGCCTCAAAGATTACAGAGTGAAAAAGCAACTCAGGAAACAAAAGAAAATAATTGCCAATTACATAAGTGGAAAGGGTTTAATATTCTATATAAAGAAATATATATATGTGAATTTTTCTTTTATCGACAATCCTGTCCTTTTTAGAACAACAATTCGACTTTGCATTGGGAAAACTACACACCCTATTAATTGTGTTCTTATTGGGAATATTAAATGTGGTGCTCCAACTTGTAATTAAGAGGTTAAAGCCTATGTGTCAGTGATCTCCGTCACCACCCTCAGGTTGGATGATTTTCTAGAAAGACTCACAGAACTCAGTAAAGCTTTTATACACATAGATATGATTTATCACAGTGAAAGGATATAGATTAAATGAGAGAAGGTAATAGGTGCATAAAACAGTACAAGAAGGTCCAAGCACAGGGTTATAATTGAGGGTCAATCACATAGGCATGGGGCATCTTGTGTAACCGACCTTAGCTATTAAGTCTACAGCCATCCTCCAGAGGTCAAAATGATGTAGCATGGTCCAGGAGCCCCAGATGAATATCTGAATAGATATTCAGCATGTGTGACATTGTTAGCACAAACTATCTGGTGTGACCCAATGTCTTATGTATACAAAAACACTTTTATCAAATAGGCCATTCATTCCAAGGGCTCAATGTTTATCTAAAAGGAGCTAGTTGAGAGGAAGACCTTTCTTTCAAATGCACAAAATTTGAACACTTCATGTTTGCTGATGTAAAATTGTACTACATAGCTAGCTACATATATTGCAGGACTCAATGCAAAGTGAAAATGTGGGACCCCTTCATCAAGAAGCAGGAAATCATTGCCATTAAAGGAAGTAAATATAAATCTTTTTCTTTTCTCTACTGTCTCACATAATGTTATGGTGTCTCATATTTGCTATATGACATCATTCCAATTAAAGAAGAATTAAAACTTTTATTAGCAAAAATGTCACTATTTATCTTTATATAATAGAATTCTAGTTTTAAATGCAAATGCAATGTCATTTAACTTACATGTTGAATAATCAAACTGCACAATTTGTATTTTATAGCACGTAAGTGCATATGCATTTTGTTCTTATAAGAATTGTGAAAAAATACACAAAACTAACTCAAATGTTTTACACTACGTGCCATGCACATCTTCTACCAACATGCTCTGCCTATTCATCAGTATACAGAAGGACTGAAACAAAGAATTCTCTTTGTTTATCTTTGTGGTCCTAACTTTCTGTTTCTTTTACATCATAATTTTCAATGTTGAACATTACAGTGAAATAGCATGAATTAGAAAACATATGACTGGTTTCTTTGGTTATTCGTCTTTTTGAGAGCACCACAGTCTTCTTTTTGAAGAGTGTGGACTCTCAGCAGCACCCCTGCCTCCACACTCCCCTTGAACTTGCCTTGAGTGTCACTGAACTCTCATGTATTGTTCATGCACAGGAGTTTTATGTGCATGTGGTATTAAAAACACTATGCAATTAAGCCAGCAAGAAACTGTGTCAAATAAACCTGATGGGCATATTTCATCTGCTCTCTTTTATACTTCATTGTCTCATTGACTTCACTTATAAAAAACAAGTTCAAAGGAAATTTTTAAAAATTTTAGATGGTAACAGCAAGGCACTTAACTAAGTCTGAGGCTTTTCTGACTACATGGTTTTGTTCAATTTTTAACATCAAAAAATTGGAATGAGCTACATGTTAATATAGGGTCTATTAACTAGGGATAGAATGATAAATATATCACATTATTTTCAGTGAACTTGAAATTCATTTGAGGGTCTAGGCAATTAAGCTATCATTAGAATATAACATGAAAAATATCAATACTGGAATTGTTCAGGGTGAATTAGTTGTGGACAACTAATTCAATTTGAGTTTCAGGAAAGATTTTTTTTGAAACAAGTAATATTTAAATGACAGTCAAGGCTTGAGTAGAAATAAATTTAAAGAACATGGGTAAGGGAAAAAGAATATTTTGGGGGAGAGTGAATAGCATGGATGAATGATCTCCTCCTATTATCCTTTCCTCATACACAATCAATAGATTTCCCTCTTAAAAAAATAAAAGATACTTTACTTTTTCCAGGCTTTTAAAGATGTCTCTAGATTTGTTCATTAGTAATTAGGGTGCCATAAAACCAAGGGAAAGACATACATAGTTTGAATGGAATTTCAGAGTAAGGACTGACAGACAAACATGTTAGTTGCAATTTCAAAGCAAAACACTTTTGAATGGACCTGCTTAAAGTTTCTGAGCTTCACTCAGAAATTACTCTACTTATATATCAGACAGAAATGGAAGCTGATTTTATTCTTTTCCATATAAGTTTTTCAAAAGGAAATGGACCATAGGATTAGCCAATTTATATCTTAAGGATAATGATACCCACATATGCTGTTTATCTGGGCTCTTGGGAAAATTGTGGGTTTATTCATTTTTTAGATCTCTTTCTCACTTTTAGAAATTATTAACATTAAAGAGTTAACAGAGTTGAACACATAGACATGAATTTTTATTTATCTTTGTACATATATGTCTTAGACCCTAAAGAAAAATAAGTAAGCAAGTAGGTGACACATCTCTATTAAATACACCCTTCATTCATAAATCTAATATTACCCTTGCCAGTTGTTTTCAGCATAATTGTTGCTAGTATTAGGAAGTAAAAAATTCTAGACATTGACGTGGAACTAAGTTGAGGCCTAGTGCTTCTGTTCTGTCATCTTGGTCCTTTATATACACCCCAAAAGATATACTTCACGCAAATCACAATCTTACTGCCATTTATCTTAGAGCTGGAGATAACAAGTTAATCCATTATGAATCTCAACTGAGTTGAAAGCTTGAGAAAACAACCTAATAGGTGCTATAACAAGTACACCACAGTTTCTGAAATGAAAAATTGTATAAAGTAATCCGGCGGTGATGAAATGACCAGACAAACAGAATTGAGGTGCTGGGTTAGGGCCTAGAGTGATTAATTAAGTGCCATCACTTGAGGAAAATCACTGTTGCTTGCAGCAGTGTTATTTGCCTTTGCAGTAAATTGTGGAAAGTTGAGGTACGCTGAGAGGAAGGATCATGGGCCAATGCCTATTTTAAGTAGAGGATCTGTAGACACATAAACACTATGTGATATCATCATGGGGAGATTCAAAAATGAGAATCATGACTGTCAAATAATAATTTGGAAACAGGGAAATGTGACCAGAGAGAAAGTTTAATAATCCACCAGCTACCTTGGGAACAGAATCTAAGTTTCTCTACTCTCTGCCATCTATGACCCCCTTACATTATTCTCTCTGGCCTGTATTCTCTTTGAATTCATTTTTCCCAGTTCTCGATATGCTCAGGGACCACAAATTTGTTTTTCAAAAGGAAATGGACCATAGGATTAGCCAATTTATATCTTATAGATAATCATATCTAGAGCAATATCAAATTTGTCTTACCTGTGTGGCATTCTCCTAGGACACTGACCTACCTTTATAAACTAATAGAAGCAATTTAACTTTGACATTCACTCCTTTAATCAATCATCCACTTCCAAAATATTTACTAAACACCTTCTTTATGTAAAATCTATTTTAAAAACTGGAAACATGGAAGAGATAACACAGATTTAGATACTTGTTGTAGAGATTTCATGTGTACATAGACAAGTATCTGTAATCCCAGTTAAACATAATATATGCTTTATGAAAGTATTATAATGGGAAAGTGGAAAGGTTTCCCAGAAAAGATCATATTTAAATTAGTTCATGAGAATGTGTATAATTTGAATACATAAAACTGTGGGAAATTTTTTTAAAACCGTTGAAGAATATGAGCAAGGAATGCTAAGGACGTATGGGTGTTTGGATAAGTAAAGAATAGTTTGCATCAGGGAAATGTGACATACCAGATACATTAATGGAGAGTTTATTATTTTTGGAAAGACTTGGTTCTCAAAAGAGTTGAGTATTAGAATTTAAGACCAGAATGTCTTGGACTAAAAATGTGGATAAAAGAATTTAGGGAGGTAATGATAATTTGAGGAGTACTAAAAGTCACTTTTTCATTCATTCCTGTTTTTATCAACTGAGGAATTATTTATATACAGCAAAATCCACCACCAATTTTAAGTGTACAGTTTGATGAATTAAGTAACTCTATACAATCATTAAGAAATAACAGAAATCAGATTAGAAAACAGGTTTCTCACCTTTAAATGATTGCTTCTCTGGAATCAAGCCCCACACCTTATGCCAGCTCAAGGAAACCACTGTTCTGATCTGTCATTAGAGTTTTGCAGTTTCTAGGTATTCTAATAAATTGTATCATAAAATATGTAGGGTTTTGTGTTTGACTTACTTTACTTTGCTTAATATGTTTGCGATTCATTCGTATGTGTTATTGTGCACCAAAATTGTGGTCTTTTTTAAATTGCTGAGTAGTATTTAATAGTACAGATATACCGCAAGTTGTTCATACACTTATCAGTTGATATGAATTGGACTTGCTCCCTGGTTTTGGTGTTTTACAAACAATGCTGTCATGTGTATTTAGTTGCACATCTTTGAGTGGACATACTTTTCCATTTTTGTCAAGAAAACACTCAGGGATGAATTACTGAGTCAGACTATTTACCATTACAAGAAGTGGTGGGGCTACTTTTGCCTGCTTACCAGAAATATATGAAAGGTTGCTCTGCCCTTCAACCAAGCCAATCGTTTGTATCTCAGATACAATGCTGAACAAGAGTGGTGAGAGCAGACATTCTTACATTGCTTTTCATTTTATGGGAAAAGCATTCAGTTTTCCATCATTTAAACTAGACATTTTATATAGATGTCCCTTACTAGATGGAAGAAATTCCCTTCTATTCCCAGTTTGCTAAGATGTTACAAGTGGGCATTTCATTTTTCTACATTTATTGAAATGATTATATGGCTTCTCTTTCTTTAGCCTGTTCATATGGTGAATTACACTGATTTAACTTTGAGTGCTGAATCAACCTTGCTTAACTAGACACAGCTTAGTCATGGAATATTATTGTCTTTATATATGTTATTCTCTTCTCCATTATACTCTCAAAGAGTTTCTGTAGAATTGATATAACTTTTGTCTTATTTGCTAAAATTAACCATTGAAGCCTTTGGAATTAGAGATCTCATTAAGGAATTAAAAAATAATAATCAAATTTCTGTAATAAATAGAGACTTCAGATATTGCAGTTTTCTCTAAGTGAGGTTTCGTAGTTTGTGTCTTTTCAAGAATTTTTTTTCAACACTATCTAAGATGTCAAAAGTACACGTACAGCTAAGAGTACTTTAATTTCTTTTTCCTATTTGTGGAATCTATAGTAGTCTCCCCTCTTTTATTTCTAATACATGTAACTCTTCTCTTTTCCTTGGCAGCCATGCTAGAGGTTTATTGTTGGTGGTGGTGTCATTGTTATTGTTATCTTCTAATTTTTTCAGAGAAAAAGCTTTATATTTATTAATTTACATTTTTTTCATTTTTAATTTTATTAATTTTGGTACTTATATTCACTATTTTCTTCTTTTGGATTGCTTCATGTTTATTTTGTTATTCCTTTACTAGTTTCTTAAGGTAGAAGTTGAGATCATTCACTTGAGACCATCCTGCTTTTCTAATGTAACTATTTAATAGCATAGGTTCTTTTCAAAGCAAAGCTTAAGCAGCCTCCAGAATTTTTGATATATTTAAAAATTTTTCACTTAATTAAAAACATTTTTTTTCTCTTGTGACTTCCTCCTGGACCATGCAACATTTAGAAGTGTATAATTTAATATACAAATATTCCTCTGTTATTATGTGTGTTTTATTGTTTAACAATTACTCCTAGTTAGTGTTTTATCAGGATTTTTAATCTTTTCAAATAAGTTTTTGACTTATTGATTTTTTGTCTTTATTTTTGTTTTTCTATTTTAATAATTTCCCATCTTTATTACTTTCTAATGTTTACTTTGCTTTTAATTTACTCAATTTCTAGTTTATTAAGGTGAAAGAAAACCTATGAAATTGATTTTTTTCCTTTTATATGTGTTTATTGATATCAGCTTATTCTAAGCAATGCTTTAGCTTTGGTTCACATTTTAAATCAAAATACTTTCTACTTTTATTTTCATTTTTTGTTGATTTCTTGATTTTATTTAGAAGTGCATTAGTTGGATTTCAAATATTGGAAGATTTTCCAGGTATATATCTACTGATTTCTAAGTTAGTAATTGTATTTAGAAAACATATATTGAATGGTTTGAATATTTTTAATTTATTGAGACTTGTTTTATAACATAATTGATCTCAGTATATATTTCATGTGCACTTAAAAATAGTGTGTATTTTTCTGTTTACCAATGATGTGTTCTCTAAATGTCAGTTAGTTCAAGTTGGCCATTTATTTACTTTATTTTGTGAAGTGTTTGTATGCTTTTGCTCTTTAAATTGGGGATGTTGTATTACTTCAATACACCTTGCTTTCCCAGCATAAACTCCACTTGGTCTTTGTGCATTACCATTTGTGTATATTGTTGACTTAATTTTTTAATATATTACTAAGAATTTTTGCCTCATAGCTCATAAGGGGTATTGGTCTGCTATTTTCTTTTTTTTATTATGACTTTATCCAGTTTTAGATTGATATTAATGCTAGTTGCATAAAATGAAATGGGAAGTATTTTCCCCCTATTTGGTGAAAGAGCTTGTAGAGAATTTGTTTCCTCTTTTTCTTAAACGTAGATGGCATTCAACAGTGAAGCCATTTGAGACTGGAGTTTTCTTTGTAGAAAGATTTTAAATTATGGATTCAATTTTTTAAATTGATACATAGGTATTCAGGCTTTCCACTTCTTCTTAAATCAGTTTTGGTAACTTGTTTCTTTCAATAAATTATCTGTTTCATCTAGTTGTCAGTTTCATTTGCATGAACTCGTGCATGTATTTCACATATTATCTTCTATGATACCTTTTTTATTTCAGATAGATATAATTTGGTCTTCTCTTTTTATTGTCATATTCATCTCTCTGGCTGGGTAGTTATTAAATTTCATGTTTTCCACTGTATTCTTCTTATGTTTACTTATTTCATGGATATCTTACTCTATCAATTTGCTTTCCAGTTATTATTCTCAATATTAAAGTACATTTCTTATTAACAGTAACTTTCTGTGAATTCTGACAATCTCTGTTTACATATTTGGGTTTGGCTACAGCTTTTTTTTATTTTTTTATATTTTATTTTATTTATTTATTTATTTTGAGACAGAGTCTCACTCTGTCGCCCAGGCTGGAGTGCAATGGCGCGATCTCGCCTCACTGCAACCTCCTTCTCCTGGGTTCAAGTGATTCTCCAGCCTCAGTCTCCAGAGTAGCTGGGATTACAGGCGTGTGCCATTGCGTCCAACTAATTTTTGTATTTTTAGTAGAGGCCGGGTTTCACCATGTTGGCCAGGCTGGTCTCTGAGGTCAGGAGACCTCAGGTGATCCGCCTGCCTCTGTCTCTCAAAGTGCTGGGATTACAGGCGTGAGCCACCATGCCTGGCCACTGATTATAGCATTTTTAAAATCTTGATTCCCAGGGTTTCTGTATTTTGTACTTTTGATTCATCTCCACAACTTTCTGAATCTCCTCTTTCATTTTTTTTCTCATGATTTACTGTTTCCTTAATTTTATCAGATGGTGATAATGATGACGATAATGATGATGATGATTTGGGAGTACGTGCACTGGAAACTCTGCTTCATAAGCAGAATTCCTTTCATGAGGTCATATGTTTCGATCAACTGCTTTGAGTTTTTTCCGTATATATGTGGCTCAGGAATCAGTCAGAAATATCAGCAAACCAGTTTCGGGAATCCCTTCTCTGGTTCTTTCTATTCTGCTATTCTTTCACTCTCTGTAGTGTTCAGAGCTTCCTGCCTTCCCACTTCTGCCTCCTTTGATCAGAAAGATTACAGATTTTTCCATCTGCAATACAGCCATTATTGTGCAAGCTACATGCACTGCCATTAGCCCAAGATTATAAGCGGTGGAGATGAGATTTTACAGGTATAGCTCCTTGTCTCACTTTTTCCAAGAGAGGTTGTGATGCTTTCTCCACCCGAATTTGCCTATTTTGTCCATTCTCATGTGCTTTCAGCATTTAGTTTTTGTAGTATGTCATATGTTATATTTGTTTTCTGCAGAGGGTAGACATCCAGTATAGTTTTATTCTCTCATATCTCTTAGTTGTCTTAATTAAGACTAATTTGGGACAACAGTATTAAAACTTTGGCTGGGCAGGGTGGCTCACACCAGTAATCCCAACACTTTGGGAGGCCGAGGTGGGCAGATCACGAGGTCAGGAGATCGAGACCATCCTGCCTAACACCGTGAAACCCTGTCGTCTCTACTGAAAATACAAAAAATTAGCCCGGTGAGGTGGTGGGTGCCTGTAGTCCCAGCTACTCGGGAGGCTGAGACAGGAGAATGGCGTGAACCCGGGCGACGGAGCTTGTGGTGAGCCGAGATCGCGCCACTGCACTCCAGCCTGGGCGACAGAGCGAGACTCCGTCTCAAAAATAAAGCAAAAACAAAAACAAAACAAAAAACTTCAAAATGTTCATTTGTTCAGATTATTTTATCTCTTTCCATTTGGCTTGCAGGGGGTGGGGTACATCTTCAATGTGGTTAGGAAGAAGTAACAAAACTAAATGGCTTTTAACACCCCCTCTTGGGCCCAGAATTTCTAAAATGACTTCCCAAAGATGCTCTACACAATCACTAGAATCTGTGAATATGAAGAGGTATATTCATATATATGATACTACATGACAAAAGGGATTTTAAAAGGAGAGAGGGAAAAGAAAGGAGAGGTAAGTAAGTGAGTCTTGTATACTGTGTAACAGAGGGCAATGCCGTTCTTTCTTTGACAGATGAACCAAGGAGGAAAACATCCTTCACACTAAACATGCTCTTCTCTCTCTAATGAGCTGATATTTTCTCTTTAATGAGTTCAGTGTTTTCTATCTCACGGCATCTCTGATTCTCTCTGTATCTGCTCTCATCTTTCTATTTTACTTCTACTTGGTGGCTTTCTCATAATTTCTGCTCCCTCACTACTTTTCTTGCCAAATGTTCGACTTACAATGATACCCTTTACCCAGAATCTGCTTCAAGATATTCCTGAAAATAATTTGATCTCACTTCCAAACATGCTTTTCAGTTTCCTCATTTTAAATTCCAGAGCAATAAAACTATTTAGCTCTCCTTTAAGCATCAGGCCATAAATCACAAATTGCAAGTGTGGCGTGGCTGTCTGTCTCTGGTCCTGGCCAATTACTGTTTCAACCAATTATGAACAGGGAAGACATGTCTGAGGTAACATAGTGACACCCCGTGCTTCCTCAGGAGGTCTGAAACCACATCCATGTCTCTTAAAGGCTCAAGGAAACCTAAAGGAATCACCTGGATTTCTCTAATACAACCCTTTCTGACTGTACTCACTAGGAACTGAAGCCACACAGCTTAGTAATCAAGCTTGGCTATAAGAAAAGAAAGAAAAAGAAAACAAAAACAAAAATTAATTTACAGCTGTTTTTGCATGAGTATGACATTACTATTCTAGGAAATTCTTTCTCGGGAAGATGATGTTGGAAGTAACTTTATTATTTGTTTCAGAGGCTTCTTTTCAGAAAAACAGATTACTAAACTGGATTTATAAAATGACTATTTATTATAAAATATTCATTTTCAAATCATGCCTCATTGTATGCATTCATCCTAAATTATTATATCACAAACTTTACTTAATTATAATCAGGCCCTCCTATTAAAACCTTACTTTCAAAACAAATGTCCTATCCTTGACTTTTCTTTCCCAACAAAGGTCTTTCCCAAGTGGGCTCTTCACTGTGTTAAGCAGAAACTTTGGTTTGTGTGCTCAGCAGGTGATATTGGTTTTGTTTTATGGGATCATCAGTCAAAATCCCATTTTGATCCTGACTGCCACCCTATGAGGAAGACAAGGCAGGCAGAATTTTTAGAATGAGGAAACTAAGATGAGTATGGTGACATCACTTCCAGTCATTTGATTTTATTCTAGGAAAGTTTCCACTATATAAATCTACTGCCTCAACAATATTAAACATGTCAGGTTAAGTATGAATAATTTGTCACTGAAAGATCTGAAATTAACTATTATACATCCTCATGTATCAAGTACATACTTTAGAATTTAATCTTCTTTAACCTTTTTTAATCTTTCTAATATTACTTGTATGAGGCCACATTTCTGCTCAAACCTTCTCTAGTCCTGAAGTTCTCCTCAAGATAAATTGCATATTCTTATTTGACATTAAGAACTCTTCCTAATATGACCCCAAACTACCCTTTTGGCTTAGCACCAATGAGCCTTTCTTAGTCTTAACAACGCTTGCCCTCACCCATCTCTCAGTGCCAGCTACTTTTGGATTTCTATGCTTCTGTTCTCTTCTCTTTTTTAACGCATGACAAGGAAAATAATTTCTGCTTATGTTTCATCTCTAGCCTAGGCCTATTCACCCATATGAAACTAAGTACGGCCCTTTCAAAAATATATCTGATAAATCATAATTGTTCAATGAATGCATTATCAACTGCATATTGCTTCAGACTAATAAATTGCTCACTCCAATCCCAATGAAGAGGGTAAGGAGAGGAGGGTCAAGGGAAGCATAAAGCTATAACTATATGCCTTAATATGTTATTTCCAGGGAATTCATAAAGGTTAATTCTTCATATAGTCCTTGTGCTTAACACAATGGTAAAGTCAGGCTTCTAAAATAATGCAGCAGTAAATTCTGATGAAGTAAATCATTTTGTAGCAAAATCTAAACAATGGTGTTAGAAGACCAAACGGATTGTGCATAAGGAAAACCAACTCTCCTATTACTTTAATTATTCAGCCTATTAACTGTGACAGTATGGCTTTAAAATCTCTTCATTATTCACTGTAATTAAGTGGCACAGCAACCCACAGGATGTCAGAACTCACATTCAGAGAAGACAAGCTGTGAGTGATGGTGTACACACTATATACAGACAAAACATTTTAAAAAGAATAATTGCTCTCACATCACTTCCCAAGATGTCTCACCTGTCTTCTTTTGCATCTTTTTTTCAACGTGAATGCTTGCAAATGTACAACATCAATTTAGCACTTTCTAGTTTGCAACTTTGTAAACAGCAGCTTTCCCACTTGAGTAAGTGTGAAGAGGAAGTTCAGAATGGTTTGTGCCTAATTGTTGATGGCCAATCATAGAAAGTAAAACTAAACATAGGCAAAGTCAAGGGGAAGTAAGAAAGCAGATAATTGCTTTGAAATTTTTTATTATAAAAAAGAAGAAGAAATAAGATTGGGAAAACAAAAGAAGTAACAGTGTGCAAATTGGCAGGGGGTAGTTGTTTTATTTTGTCTTGTTTTAGTTGTTTAATGGGCTCTTGTGAGCTGCATTTCTTTCCCCTTCGGAGAAGGGTCTGTTGAGATGGACTAAAGAGGGCCCTTAAATAAAAGACTAGGATTATTTTTCTTGTTTATTACAGTTGATATTTTGACATTCTATAATAGCAGAATACCCGTTTTTCAAGCACCCCCCATCCCCCCCACAGAATACACACCAAGACAGATGACATACTAAGTCATAAAATCTCAACAAATTTAAAATAATTGAAATCACATAAGGAGTGTTCTCTGAGCACAATGGGGTCTATCTAGAAATCAGTAAGTTAAAGATAACAGAAAAAAAAAATCTTCAAACACTTGGAACTGAACAAGCCACTTTTAAAATAACCTATGGGTCCTAGAAGAAGACTCAAGAAATGTTATGGACTGAATGTGTTCCCCCCAAAATCATGTGTTAAAATCTATCCCCTAATGTGATTGATAATATTTGGAGGTAGAGTCTTTGGGAGACAATTATGTCATGAGAGTGAAGCCTCTGTATTGGGATTGGTGCCCTTATAAGAAAGGATCCAAGAGCTAGCTCAATCTCTTTCTGCCATGTGAACACATACAGAAAAGTTAGCAATCTACACCCAAAAGAGGGCCCTCACCACAACCTGACAACATGACACTTTGATTGTGGACTTCCAGCCTCCAGAACCGTAGGAAATAGAGTTGTTTGAAAGTTTATGGTGTTGTTACAGCATCCTGGATTAAGACAAAAGAAAAGGTTTTTAAAAATACATTGAACGTAATGAAATTAAAAATATAACATATCAAAAGTTGTGGGACTCAGCTAAAGCAGTGCTAACAGGAAAATGTAAAGAAATATATCTAGCATGAAGGAGTTCTTTGTGGTGATGAAATATCCCTGTATTTTGATTGCAATGCTGATATCATAGAATTAGACATGTGATTAAAAAACATATAATTACATACACACGCATGGTTCTGAGATCAAATTCCTGGTGACCATCATTATGTAAAATGTAACCACTGGGAGAAACTGGGTAAAAGACACATGTGATCTCATTATTCTTTTTAAGAGTTATCTTAGCAATTATTGTCGCTTTTTCTTCTACACATAGTTGTATGGAATGTTCTTTTTCCCTTTAAGATTTTCATTACATGGAAAAGTGACCTGTTTATGATAATGTTAACATATTTAAATGAGTAGAATAAAATATTTGAAAATACTTGATTCATTTAGGCCTCATGAATGTTTCTGTTTTAACTTTTATTTATTTGTTTCATATTTTGTGCTTAAAAAAAGATGTCCAATTAAAAAAAGGCTGTTGGAATCTTCTAAAAAGTATATCCAATGAAACCGCAAAATATATCTTAAAATTAACTATTTGGCTGATATCTGATGTTACCACCTTTGTCTAATCCATCCATGCTTCTATAATTGCCTCCCTATAATTTCCACATAAAAACTCAGGTAATTTTTATATATGACATCAGTTCATAGCCTCATATTTCTTTCTCTTCCTTCAACCTTAAACCCTGCCAAGTCTTCCCATTTATACAGAATAGTATTTAAACTCCTTACACTGGCATTATTGTCATTAAAATTTTAGCTTAATTGTCCCCTGCCCAGAGAAGCCTCCTCTAGTAAGAGTCAAAAATATATGACCATTCCCTCCCTACTACATGGCTGTGTAATTCTTAGCACAGCAGTTATTACTATTGCAAATGTTCTATTTGTTTACTTCATTACTCTTTCTCTTCTGTAGAGTGTAAGCTCCCTGAAAATAGATGTCTTTATTTTTCTTCACTACTGAACCATAATAATAAAAAATGCATTTATAAACACAAATTTACATTAACTAATTCAGCTCTCATAACAACAATATAAATACATATTATCACCATCATCACTATTTTACGGTTGAGAAACTGGACAGATAAGTTAGGTAAATTCCTCAAGATCTCACAATCTGGTACATTTAGGATACATAATTCAAACTCAGGCAGTCTGCCTCTAGTGTCTTTATTCTTAATCACTAAGTTACAATGCCTATAATTGTTTCCAGACCTTAGCAGGTTTTTAATTAATGTTCCTTGATCAGTGAAAATATTAAGTTGGTTCTCTGGAAGAGGTGGTTGTGCTTTGAGTTTATTATAGAGCTTGTTTTACTAGGTTAAACATTTTATATCTAGAAATAATTTTACATGTGAACTATTTTGGGGACTATAATCTACAAATTAAGACTATCATTTACTAATAGATGTTAATAGATTTGCTTAAATCATTCTTATGGAAAATGTATGAAATTATATCCTGAGCATAAGGAAAAGGAATTTTCCTAATCAGAGTACAAGTTAACTATCTATCATATCAGTGGTGTTTATTAAAACACATCAGTATTCATTTGTTTTAGATATTATACAAGTGATATACAAATATATTATTATTATTATAGAGTAGCTGAAAAAATGTCTACGGCAATTTACAGCGTCATAATTTAGCATATTCTTAATCTCTTTTTTAAAAACATATTTAATGCTGTGTTCAGCTCTTAGGGAAATCTAAAGATTAGGCAAAGCCAGGGCTCTGGAGCGCCTAGAGCCTGGGCTCGCTTTAAGGTACATCCTATAACCAGGACAGCTTAATGGCAAGTTATCTTCATTTTTTGAAACATCTTGGATATTGCTAATAGGTGCTATTCAGAATATATAATTGCCCTTTAAAAAGGATAACACTTTGGCATAAAGTAAATGCGTGCCCCCGAAATTCATATATTGAACCATACCCCACCATGTAATGTTATTAGAAAAGGCTTTTGGTATGTAATTAGGTTTAAACAGGTCATGAAGGTGGAAACTTTATATGACAAATAAGAGAGCAGAGCTCTCTTTCTATGCCATGTGAAGATATAACAAGGAGGCGGTCTTCTACAAACCAGAAAGAGTCTCTCACAAAGAGCCAAGTCTCCTGGCATTTTGATTTTGGACTTTTTATCATCTACAACTGTGAGAAATAAGTATCTGTTGCTTAATCCATCCAGTCTCTGGTAATTTGTTATAGCAGTCCTAGCTAACTAAGTCAGTCTTCTTTCATGAAAGTAATGTTAGCAACTAAAGAAAAATAGAATTGCTCTTGTTTTATTCAATTGAGTCTTTTAGGTGTTTGGATCTGCAAAGTGGCCTAGAGCTTTAATTAGAAATATGACCATGAGAAAGGTACATTATTCTGCATTAGTAAGTAGAAAAAAAATGTTATTCCTAGAAGAGAAATGAAAATATTGACATGGATGAGGGAAGAGGGTGAGAGTTAAGGACAAATATAAAAATTACCAGAGGACTGAGCTTTCAATGGAGATGACTTAACAAAGAATTCCTGACTGTGGCCATAACAACCCTTGGAAATAGATATTTTATCATCTTAGGGGCTCATAGTAAACCTTGCTAATGCTTATACATACAGAAAGACCCTATCATGAAGAATGTTTTGTTTGTTCCCTATAAATTGTAAAGGTAGCTGCTTTTATTACTGTATCATAATGGTAAAGAATGCAGACAGAATGCAGGCGAGCAAGGAATCCTCTTAGTCAGAGTAGGAGTCTAATGCCAGAGATGAAAATGAGAATGCTAGCTACATAGGAATGTGCATGTACGTTGAGTAGATTACATATGGATAATGAGGTTTGAATATAGCTGATAGTGTTGATGATGATGATTATAATAGTAACTTATATTTAGTAATCACTTACTATGTATCAGGCCTGCATGAAGCCTAACATGGATTATTGTCTTACATTTCCTGAGAAATTCCATTCTATTTTCCCCTGCTTATTAATATGTATTTGGGATTCAGTGGGACTAAGTAACCTGTGCACATTCACATTTTTAGTAACTGATGATGATGGGACCGAATTATCAAATTACTGAACATGTTAAATGTGAATTAAGGTAATCATTATCTTACTTCACATCTTATTGCACTTGATGCTAAAGAATATGAGCGATGCTTCTTTCATGTCTCTGAGATTTTGTAGATATTACTGCTGTCTTGAATATACTTTCTTCCTTTTCTTTTGGGTTTGCAAGTTTCTAAATGTGATTGAACACAGATTTGAGAGAATAAAAGAACAGTTTAAACAAGATTTTTTGACACTTTACCTACAAAATAGTAATTTTTTCTCTATACCTTTATACATCTTTTTTGTGAATACTTCTTTTACTTATTGAAGCTAATCACAAGTGTCACCCTGACTTGTTTACTTGACTGAGCCCAATTTTGAACCATGAGTTCCTACAAGAATAAAGACTGAGTCATAATTTGAAGCACTAATTAGATATTTGTCAAGATAAAATTCAATTAGAGTGAGAAGGTGACCCTCAGATTCTATTCTAGTTTTATTTGTTAATTATGACCATGATAAAGTCTATCAACAAAAAGAGTAATCAACTCTGCTGCTAACTCCTTGCTACAAGTTCTAAGAAGAGATATATTATTTGGTGACTATTAAAGAGCTTTGAAACAGAAAGGAATTTACTTATTTGTAAAATCTCAGACTTTTTATTTTAGGAGATGCTGATGTTATAAACACTTGTATAAGCTATCAGTTGTCAAGACTGCTATAGTTTGTTGTCCAAGGTCATGGTTAAGATATCAAGACAATAAGGTTAAGAGAAGTATTTGCAAGTGTAAAGGAAAAGCATAATAATATTGTCTGGGATAGTCTTTCTTTCCTTCTTTCAGTAAGTAAGTTGGAAAATTTTTGAAGACTCAACTCAGTCAACATTTTTAAGAAGCTTTCACTGAATATCCAAGTGTGACACAACTTGACACTGAGAATCCAGAAAATCTGAGACAGGTCTCAGTTAATTTAGAAAGTTTATTTTGCCAAGGTTGAGGATGAACCTGTGACACAACCTCAGGATGTCCTGACAACATGTGCGCAAGGTGGTCAGGGCACAGCTTGGTTTTATACATTTTAAGGGAAACATGAGACATCAATTAATATGTAAGAAGTACATTGGTGCAGTCTGGAAAGGTGGGAAAACTTGAAGTAAAGTCAGGAAAACTGGAAACAGGAGGGAGCTTCCAGGTGGCAGATAGGTGAGACATTCTTTTGAGTTTCTGATTAGCCTTTCCAATGGAGGCAATCAGATATGCATCCATCTCAGTGAGGAGAGGGTTAACTTTGAATAGAATAGGAGTCAGGATTGCCTTAAGCAGTTTCTAGCTTGAGTTTTCCTTAGGGATTTTGAGGGCCCAAAATATTTTCTTTTCACATTTCCCCCCTTTTCTTTTTAAAAGTCTTTTGGAGAAAGCATTTTACAAAAAAATGAGTCTCTGGTCTCTGATCGCTCATGGCTAGGATGGCTTATTCCTAGATGGGTAGGTCCTGAAAGTTCATTTTTAGCAGGTTGTGAAGACTCACGTCCTGTGAAGAGAAAATAGTGGGGAGGAAGAGAGAAAGAAAAAAAAAAACAAAAACAAAAGAACAATCCTAGAAAAATCAATACAGGCCACATTACTCTGAAGCCTACACATTAGTTGGCAGTGATGAAAGTGGCTTAAATATGTAAATATGTTGCTGTTATTTTATTCTGAAGTTTAAGTTGTCTGGCTTCAGTTCATAAGGTTTAGGAAAGCACATCTTAGTTTTCAGTGATTCCAAATTAGGAAAAAGTGGGGGAAAAAAGAAGGAAAAAAAAATGGGAACATTATTTTGAAAACTTGTAGCCAAGAAAAATTAGAATTCAGTCCAAACTGTAGAAAATAAAAATTGAAGAAAAAAAAACATTAGGCAAGATTAGAATATAACAACAGGTTTACTATCATTTTGAAACAATATTTTTTTTTTACTCTCTCCAGTTTACCATTTTACTAAAGACAAATTATGATAGAATTGGTTTGCTTATTATACTTGGCCTAATTATTTGTGTACAGTGCAACAAGTATAATTATTTTTTTACATAGGCTTTAAAATGAGATTTTATGGAACTTTGTTCCATAGGAGGAATCTCAGATAAGACTTTTTTAAAGCAAATCCAGGCCATGGATTTGTGCCATGAAATACCTATGAGTTGGGTGAATTTCTTCTCCCCTTGAGGTTCCGAGATAAACCTGGGACTTCTGCACCTGTCAGAAAGTGGCATTTTTTACTTACCACAGGTCAGAAAACTTGTGTAGGAATGTGTACACAAAATATGAGGCCAGTTTTATCAAGAGCTTTATTGGCTTCATAAGCCAAGTTTGATTCCTTAAAGGAAAGCACACCATTCCAGTCAAAGCCTTGGTAAAATAAGGCACCCATAGTCAAAAGACACAATTGTCAAGGAAATTTGTTAACTCTGTGGCACGCAATAATTTTAACATAACAATTATCATTATTACTGATAGCGTACACTAAGTTATATCAGAATTACGTGAGTTTCCCAGAATTTTGGAACACATACCAATAATATATTTCTACAAATACGGTCCAAAGAAAACCAAACACAATTCCATATTTGACAGTACTTCCTGTGTAATTTTTATACCAAATTAGCCAAATTATGTTATTTTTGGACATTGGGGAAGCTACTGTCTTAAAGGATTAATTAGGTTAGAAAAGACATAGTTATTTGATTTTGGAAATTTTGTCAACTATAAAAGGTTTAAAACATTTGATGTTACAAAATAGGATTACAGTTCATTGTAAAGTCATTTATTTAACCAGAGTGATAATTCAAGGATTTGAATAAAAAGCAAAAATCTTTGTTCTTTGAGAGAGGAGACTTAATTAATTTTCTAAACAAGAAGCCCTAATAAAAACAGCATGAACCCAGTTACATTTGTTTTTCAGAATTTTGTAAACAATCTATACAATTTCATCTTGATTATAAAATATAACTTCCATAAGCCTTTTATAACCTTTATAGCCTTTATTAAGGAATTGGTTAATGATGCAAGAAAGCTTTGTTAATCTGACACAGGGGTTTATATACTGGTTTTGCATCAGTGTGCCTTTGACACTAATGATTAATTTATAGGGAAACCGAATTTATTTTATCTTTCAAAATTGGGCCTTACAATCTTTTGCATTCACCTCTTCCACAAGATTCCTAGGGCCTTGAAGAGCTGAATAGCTTTAATTTCTTGCCCTGTGTCTCAGGAATGCAGTTTATTTGTCTGGCATCTCTATGGGGCCTGAATATGATGATTTAATTGCTGTAAGTGTTTAAGATTTAGCAGGGCTTTGTATTCATTTTAGACCCAGGAGTTAAAGCCCTCTAACTAAATGTTACAAGGACTTTAAAAGCACATACAGGGAGGTACATGGATGTAATCAGCTTAATTTAAAAAATTATCAGTTTTTTTCCTAAGCAAACCACAACTTAATAATATGACAAATTGATTATATAAAAGTTTTTGTCATATATATGTCATATATATATACATATATATATAAAATCATCTTATTGAGACTTACACTGACCATTCATGACATGCCAAGACTTTCTGGTTTGTCCTGAACATCTGTCCTTTTTATTTTTTATTTATTTTGTATTTATTTATTTTAATTATTATTATGCTTTAAGTTTTAAGGTACATGTGCACAATGTGCAGGTTAGTTACATATGTAGACATGTGCCATGCTGGTGTGCTGCACCCATTAACTCGTCATTTAGCATTAGGTATATCTCCTAATGCTATCCCTCCCCCCTCCCCCACACCACAACAGTCCCCAGAGTGTGATGTTCCCCTTCCTGTGTCCATGTGTTCTCATTGTTCCGTTCCCATCTATGAGTGAGAACATGCGGTGTTTGGTTTTTTGTCCTTGAGATAGTTTACTGAGAATGATGATTTCCAATTTCATCCATGTGCCTACAAAGGACATGAACTCATCATTTTTTATGGCTGCATAGTATTCCATGGTGTATATGTGCCACATTTTCTTAATCCAGTCTATCGTTGTTGGACATTTGGGTTGGTTCCAAGTCTTTGCTATTGTGAATAGTGCCGCAATAAACATACGTGTGCATGTGTCTTTATAGCAGCATGATTTCTAGTCCTTTGGGTATATACCCAGTAATGGGATGGCTGGGTCAAATGGTATTTCCAGTTCTAGATCCCTGAGGAATCGCCACACTGACTTCCACAATGGTTGAACTAGTTTACAGTCCCACCAACAGTGTAAAAGTGTTCCTATTTCTCCACATCCTCTCCAGCACCTGTTGTTTCCTGACTTTTTAATGATTGCCATTCTAACTGGTGTGAGATGGTATCTCATTGTGGTTTTGATTTGCATTTCTCTGATGGCCAGTGATGATGAGCATTTTTTCATGTGTCTTTTGGCTGCATAAATGTCTTGTTTTGAGAAGTGTCTGTTCATATCCTTTGCCCACTTTTTGATGGGGTTGTTTGTTTTCTTCTTGTAAATTTGTAGCATGATGCCTCCAGCTTTGTTCTTTTTGCTTAGGATGGTCTTGGCTATGTGGGCTCTTTTTTGGTTCCATATGAAATTTAAAGTAGTTGTTTTTCTAATTCTGTGAAGAAAGTCAACAGCAGCTTCATGGGGATAGCATTAAATCTATAAATTCCTTTGGGAACTATGGCCATTTTCACAACATTGATTCTTCCTCTCCATGAGCATGGAATGTTTTTGCATTAGTGTGTGTCCTCTCTTATTTTTTGAGCAGGGTTTTGTAGTTCTCCTTGAAGAGGTCCTTCACATCTGTTATAAGTTGTATCCTAGGTATTGTATTCTCTTTGTAGTAATTGTGAATGGGAGTTCACTCATGATTTTGCTCTCTGTTTGTCTATTATTGGTGTATAGGAATGCCTGTGATTTTTGGACATTGATTTTGTATCCTGAGACTTTGCTGAAGTTGCTTATCAGCTTAAGGAGATTTTGGGCTGAGACAATTGAGATTTCTAAATATACAATCATTTCATATGCAAACAGAGATAATTTGACTTCCTGTCTTCCTATTTTAATACCTTTATTTTTTTCTTTTGCTGATTGTCCTCACCAGAACTTCCAATAGTATGTTGAATCAAAGTGGTAACATAGGGCATCCTTGTCTTATGCCAGTTTTCAAAGGGCATGCTTCCAGTTTTGGCTTATTCAGTATGATATTGGATGTGTGTTTTTCATAAGTAGCTCTTATTATTTTGAGACATGTTCCCTCAATACATAGTTTACTAAGAGTTTTTAGCATAAAGGGGTGTTGAATTTTATCGAAGGCATTTTCTGCATCTATTGAGATAATCACATGACTTTTGTCATTGGTTCTGTTTATGTGATGGATTGTGTTTACTGATTTGCATATGTTGAACCATCCTTGCATCCTAGGGATGAAGCCGACTTGATCATGGTGGATAAGCTTTTTGATGTGCTGCTGGATTCGGTTTGCCAGTATTTTATTGAGAATTTTCATACTGATGTTCACCAGGCATATTGGCCTGAAATTTTCTTTTTTTGTTGTGTCTCTGCCAGGTTTGGTATCAGGATGATGCTGTCCTCATAAAATAAGTTAGGGAGGAGTCCCTCTTTTTCTATTGTTTGGAATAGTTTCAGAAGGAATGGTACCAACTCCTCTTTGTATATCTGGCAGAATTTGGCTGTGAATCCATCCAGTCCTGGACTTTGGTTGGTAGGCTATTAATTACTGCCTCAATTATACATCTTGTTATTAGTCTATTCAGGGATTTGACTTCTTTCTGGTTTAATCTTGGGAGGGTGTATGTGTCCAGGAATTTATCCATTTCTTCTACATTTTCTAGTTTATTTGCATAGAGGGTTTTATAGTATTGTCTCATGGTAGTTTGTATTTCTGTGGGATCAGTGGTGATATTCCCTTTATCAATCATTTTTATTGCATCTATTTGATTCTTCTCTCTTTTCTTCTTTATTAGTCTGGCTAGAGGTCTATCCATTTTGTTGATCTTTAAAAAAAACCAGCTCCTCACTTCATTGATTTTTTGAAGGGGTTTTTATGTCTCTATTTCCTTCAGTTCTGCTCTGATCTTAGTTAGTTCTTGTCTTCTGCTATCTTTTGAATTTGTTTGCTCTTGCTTCTCTAGTTCTTTTAATTGTGATGTTAAGGTGTCGATTTTAGACCTTTCCTGTTTTGTCTTGTTGGCACTTAGTACTATAACTTTCCCTCTAAACACTGCTTTAGCTGTGTCCCAGAGATTCTGATATGTGGTGTCTTTGTTCTCATTGGTTTTAAAGAACTTATTTATTTCTTCCTTCATTTTGTTAATCCCCCAGTAGTCATTCAGGAGCAGGTTGTTCTGTTTCCATGTAGTTGTGCAGTTTTGCATGAGTTTCTTAATCCTCAGTTCTAATTTGATCACAGTGTGGTCTGAGAGACTGTTTGTTATTATTTCAGTTCTTTTGCAGTTGCTGAGGAGTGCTTTACTTCCTTAGAATAAGTGTGATGTGGTGCTGAGAAGAATGTGTATTTTGTTGACTTGGGGTGAAGAGTTCTGTAGACGTCTATAGGTCTGCTTGATCCACAGCTGAGTTCAAGAACTGAATATCCTTGTTGATTTTCTGTTTCATTGTTCTGTCTAGTATTGACAGTGCAGTGTTAAAGTCTCCCACTGTTATTGTGTAGGAGTCTAAGTCTCTTTGTAGGTCTCCAAGAACTTGCTTTATGAATCTGGGTGCTCCTGTATTGGGTACATATATATTTAGGTTAGTTAGCTTTTCTTGTTGCATTGATCACTTTATTATTATGTAATGCTCTTCTTTGTCTCTTTTGATCTTTGTTGGTTTAAAGTCTGTCTTATCAGAGACTGGGATTGCAACTCCTGCTTTTTTTTTTTTTTCTTTCTATTTACTTGGGAAATTTATTCCTCCATCCCTTTATTTTGAGCCTATGTGTGTCTTTGCATGTGAGATGGGTCTCCTGAATACAGCACACTGATGGGTTTTGACTCTTTATCCAATTTGCCAGTCTTTGTCTTTTAACTGGGGCATTTAGCCCATTTACACTTAATGTTAATATTATTATCTTGGAATTTGATCCTGTCATTATGTTGTTATCTGGTTATCTTGCCTGTTAGTTGATGTAGTTTCTTCATAGTGTTGATGGTCTTTACAATTTGGTATGTTTTTGCAGTGGCTGTTACTGGATGTCCCTTTCCATATTTAGTGCTTCCTTAAGGAGCTCTTGTAAGGCAGGCCTGCTGGTGACAAAATCTCTCAGCATTTGCTTGTCTGTAAAGGATTTTATTTCTCCTTCATTTATGAAGCTTAGTTTGGCTGGATATGAAATTCTGGGTTGAAAATTCTTTTCTTTAAGAATGTTGCATATTGGTCCCCACTCTCTTCTGGCTTGTAGGGTTTCTTCAGAGAGATCCGCCATCTGATGGGCTTCTCTTTGTGGGTAACCTGTCCTTTCTCTCTGGCTGCCCTTAACACTTTTTGCTTTATTTCAACCTTGGTGAATCTGATGATTATGTGTCTTGGGGTTGGTCTTCTTGGGGAGTATCTTTGTACTGTTCTCTGTATTTCCTGAATTTGAATGTTGGTCTGTCTTGCTAGGTTGGGGAAGTTCTCCTGGATGACATCCTGAAGAGTGTTTTCCAAATTGGTTCCATTCTCCCCCTCACTTTCAGTACACCAATCAAAATTAGGTTTGGTCTTTTCACATAGTCCCATATTTCTTGGAGGCTTTATTTGTCCTTTTTCGTTCTTTTTTCTCTAAATCTTGTCTTCACATTTTATTTCATTAAGTTGATCTTCAATCTCTGACATCCTTTCTTCCACTTGATTGATTCAGCTATTGATACTTGTGTATGCTTTACGAAGTCCTTGTGCTGTGTTTTTTCAGTTCTATCAGGTCATTTACGTTCTTCTCTAAACTGGTTATTCTAGTTAGCAATTCCTCTAACCGTTTTTCAAGGTTCTTAGCTTTCTTGCATTGGGTTAAAACATGCTCCTTTAGTTCAGAGCAGTTTATTATTACCCACCTTCTGAAGCCTATTTCTGTCAATTCATCAAACTCGTTCTCTGTTCAGTTTTGTTCCCTTGCTGGAAAGCAGTTGTGATCCTTTGGAGGAGAAGAGGCCTTCTGCTTTTGGATTTTTCAGCCTTTCTGCTCTGTTTTCTCCCCGTCTTCATGGATTTATCTACCTTTGAACTTTGATGTTGGCGACCTTCAGATGGGGTTTCTGCATGGACGTCTTTTTTGTTGATGTTGATGCTCTTCCTTTCTGTTTGTTAGTTTTTCTTCTAAGAGTCAGGCCCCTCTGCTGCAGGTCTGTTGGAGTTTGCTGGAGGTCCACTCCAGACCCTGTTTGCCTGGGTATTACCAGCAGAGGCTGCAGAACAGCAAATGTTGCTGCCTGTTCTTTTCTCTGGAAGCTTCATCCCAGAGGGGCACCCGCCAGATGCCAGCTGGCACTCTCCTGTATGAGGTGTCTTCCCCTTCCCCATCAGGCAGCACAGGGGTCAGGGACCCACTTGAGGAGGCAGTCTGTCCCTTAGCAGAGCTGCAGCACTGTGCTGGGAGAACTGCTGCTCTCTTCAGAGTTGACAGCCAGGAACTTTTAAGTCTGCTGAAGCTGTGCCCACAGCAGCCCCTTTCCCCAGGTGCACTATCCCAGGGAAATGGAGGTTTTATCCATAAGCCCCTGACTGGAGCTGCTGTCTTTTCTTCAGAGATGCCCTGCCCAGAGAGGAGGAATCTAGAGAGGTAGTCTGGCTGCAATGGCTTTGCTGAGCTGCAGAGGGCCCCGCCCAGTTGGAACTTTCCTAAGGCTTTGTTTACACTGTGAGGGGAAAACCGCCTGCTCAGGCCTCGGTAATGGTGGACACCCCTCCCCCATCAAGCTCTAGTGTCCCAGGTCAACTTTAAACTGCTGTGCTCATAGCAAGAATTTCAAGCCAGTGGATCTCAGCTTTCTGGGCTCTGTGGGGGTGGGATCTGCTGAGCTAGATCACTTGGCTCCCTGGCTACAGACTTCTTTCCAGGGAAGTGAACGGTTCTGTCTTGCTGGTGTTCTAGGTGCCACTGGTGTATGGAAAAAAAATTTCTGCAGCTAGTTAGGTGTCTGCCCAAACAGCCACCTAGTTTTGTGCTTGAAACCCAGGGCCTTGGTGAAGTAGGCACACAAGGGAATCTCCTGGTCTGTGGGTTGTGAAGACCATGGGAAAAGCATAGTATCCGGGCCAGAGTGCACCATTCTTCTCCGCATAGACAATCACAGCTTCCGTTGGCTAGGGGAGGGAGTACCCCGAACGCCTGCCTTTCCCAGGTGAGGCAACGCCCCACCCTGCTTCATCTTGCCCTTCGTGGGCTGCTCCCACTGTCTAACCAGTCCCAATTAGACGAGCTGGGTACCTCAGTTGGAAATGCAGAAATCACCCACCTTCTGCATTCATCTCCCTGGGAGCTGCAGACAGAAGCTGTTCCTATTCAGCCACCTTGGTAAGTCCCAACAATCTTTTTTTAGCAAGAATGTTTTCCTATAATATATATTAAATGGAGAATACACAGATGATGAAATATCTATTATTTAATTTAATAGAACTTTATATTCTAAATTATGACCCATTTGTTTATAAGTATTTACCCCATTACATTTACCTAATTATTTTATTTTAATCTTTTACCTAGGTTATTTATGAAAACTGTGATAGCTATGATTTAATGTTATAAAACCAGCACTGCAAAATGATAACAGAGACAGTGAAAAAAGATTTGACCTAACTGATTTCATCTTGCTCTTAACCTACAACCTGTCCTTGGTCATTCCTGGGCATAGGGAGAACTAACTTTGAGAGAAACTTACTTTATAGTTTAGCTTTGAAACAAAGACAATAACAGTTCTTTCCCAAAACAAGGCTCCTTGTTGTCTGTGGACTAGAATGCCTAAAGCCACAGGATTAGAAGTTATGATAATCTTATTACATTCAAGATGCAGCTATTTTCATTAAACCCATATCAATGCCTTATTTATTAAAAATTAAACAAGAAAAGATCATTCTCTTTGGGACTGGGTTTATAGTTTTGTAACCCCTACGTCAAATTTTGACACCCTATAGTATTTGACATTGATAAGTACGAAATTGCTTAATTAATAAATGCAAACAAAAATGTAGGCTGGCAATTCTTAAGACATTTCTAATATTATTTTACCAAAAATTTTAAAGCTAGCTTACTTTTTAAAGATTTTACTTAACTTACATAAACTTGAAAAAGCATTTGACTAGTCTTTTCTTTGTTAGTACCTGATATGAGTGCTTTTATTTTTTAAGCCAATTAATTAGAGCTCTTTTATATATTTTTTGTAGTGAATCATTGTGTACACAAGACATAAATATATAAAAAGCTGTATTAGGCATGCCAATAGAAGTACATTGTATAGATTTATAAAGATCCCCCCTGCCACTTTTTTTCCCTATCTTAGACTTTCAGCTTCTTGATAACCTGTTTTATAAACCTTGGCAATTCTCAGCTAAATAGCCTTAAATTTTCACATTAAAGGAAACAACTAAGATGAAAATCAAACAGCAAAATTTATATCATAAGGTACAGAGAGAAAAAGTTTCATGGTGCTAGAAAGAGATGCTTTAATTTTTAGGGGGCCAAAACATAAAATTAAACTATACTCTTCCTTAAAAACCCAAGAGTAGCCTCTGTTTCAATAACTATTTTAGTCAAAAAATCAGGTGAAAACAGAATTCAGTCAACTGAGAAGAAGAAGAAAAAAACTATTGCTCAAAAAAAGACACGGTATTAGGAAAGAAAAACAAACAAAAAAACAAAAACACGAAGGCCTTTCAAATACAAACATACACACATGCATACACACACATCTTGCATGTTAGACTTTTAATTAAGCTAACTCTTAACCACTGAGCACCACATTTAAGCTAAGACAAAATGCTGCTATTTCAGAAGTACGGCCATTGCTCTTTCAGTTTGGTCTTGCTGGCAAAAATGTCGCCTTGTTATGTAAATAAAGCCCCTTTGGTAGTTAATATTAAAAATCAATTGTTTTCCTTTTGTTGGCCATTTTCCTCCCACTTCAGAGGCCTTGTTTCCCATAATTTAGGGTTCCCCTTCAGATTTGATCAGGGCAGAAATAAACAACAAAACAGTTAAGCAAAACTAACAACGATCACACAAATTATACAATTTCTGAGCATTCTAAATGTAATCAGAAATTAACACCAGCTGGTTGTTAAATGCTAACTTCAGTCATTTGGAAATAATTTGCAAGACAGTATGCCACACCAGTTTGTTACCTAGTGATGGGTCTCATGCTGTAGACTGCTCTCTACCATCCTAGAAGCAGGGAAAAAAAAAATCTCATCTTTCCTGTTGGAAGCAAGCTCAAACTCCATAAAGGAATTTCCTGCCGTCCGTCCTCATGGAAACAGGAAAACTTGCCTTCCTTGTTGAGGCAATTAAAACTCCAAAAAAACCAAAAAACCAGTTGTACAGCAAAATAAAATTTAGATCTCGACCAAATTTGGGGAGATAAAGGATCTCTGGAGGGGATGCTCTCAGCCCTTAGCAATTTGTACTATTGGTTTGAGCCATAAAGTTAGCTCATGCTGGTAACAAGCACTGATAGAAGATTTGTCAAAGGTCAGGGGCATTTCCATTCAGAATCCCTCCATGGTTACCAAATTTTGAACTCAACAACTCTGAGACAGGTCTCAGTCAATTTAGAAAGTTTATTTTGCCAAGGTTGAGGACGTACCCGTGACACAGCCCCAGGAAGTCCTGACGACATGTGCCAAAGGTGGTCAGGGCACAGCTTGGTTTTATACATTTTAAGGGAGACATGAGACATGTATCAATATGTGTAAGAATACATTGGTTCTGCCTGGAAAGGCGGGACAACTTGAAGCAAAGGCAGGAAGACTTGAAGCGGAAGGGAGCTTCCAGGTCACGGATAGGTGAGACACAAAAGGTTGCATTGCATTCTTTTGGGTTTCTGATTAGCCTTTCGAAAGGAGGGAATCAGATATGCATCCATCTCAGTGAGCAGAGGGATAACTTTGAATAGAATGGAATGCAGTTTTGCCTTAAGCAGTTTCCAGCTTGAGTTTTCCTTAGTGGTGTTGGGGGCCCAAAATATTTTCTTTCACAACATAACATTTCTGTTTATTTTTGATCACTGTATTGGTCCATTTTCACACTGCTGATAAAGACATGCCTGGAATGGGGCAATTTAAAAAACAAAGATGTTTATGGACTTAGAGTTCCATATGGATACGGAGGCCTAACAATCACGGTGGAAGATGAAAGGCACCTCTTACATGGTGGCAGAAAGAGAGACAATGAAAGCCAAGCAAAACGAGTTTCCCCGTATGAAACCATCAGATCTCATGAGAGTTATTCACTACCATGAGAACAGTATGGGGGAAACCTCAGCCATGATTCAGTTATCTCCCACCAGGTCCCTCCCACATGTGGGAATTACGGGAGTACAACTCAAGATGAGATTTGGTTGGGGATACTGAGCTAAACCATACCATTCTGCCTCTGACTGCTCCCAAATCTCATGTTCTCAACTTTCCAAACCAATCATGCCTTCCCAACAGTCCTCCAAAGTCTTAACACATTTCAGCATTAACTCAAAAGTCCACAATCCAAAGTCTCATCTGAGACAAGGCAAGTCCCTTCTGCCTATAAGCCTGTAAATTCAAAAGCTAGTTAGTTACTTCCTAGATCAATGGGTGTGCGGGCATTCAGTAAATACAGCCATCCCAAATGAGAAGAATAGGCTGAACCAAAGGGGCTACAGGACCCATGCATGTCCAAAATCCAGCAGGGCAGTCAAAACTTAAAGCTCCAAAATGATCTCCCTTGACTCCATGTCTCATATCCAGGTCACACTGATGCAAGAGGTGGGTTCCCATGGTCTTAGGCAGCTCTGCTTCTGTGGCTTTGCAGTGTACAGCCTCCTTCCTGACTTCTTCCATGGGCTGGTATTGAGTGTCTGTGGCTTTTCTAAGAGAATGGTGCAAGCTGTTGGTGTATCTACCATTCTAAGGTCTGGAAGATGGTGGCCCTCTTCTCATAGCTTCACTAGGTGGTGCCCCAGTAGGGACTCTGTGTAGGGGCTCTGACTCCACATTTTCCTTCTGTGCTGCCCTAGCAGAGCTTCTCCAGGAGGACCCCATCCCTGTAGCAAACTTCTGCCTGGTCATCCAGGCATTTCCATACATCTTCTGAAATTTAAGCAGAGGTTCCCAATTCTTGACTTCTGTGCACCCACAGACTCAACACCATGTGGAAGGTGTCAAGACATGGAGTTTCCATCCTTTGAAGCAACAGCTCAACCTGTACCTTGGCCCCTTTCGGCCAAGAGAAGATGGGATGGAGGGCACCAAGTCCCTAGACTGCATGCAGCACAGGAACCATGGGGCCAGCCCATGAAACCCATTTTTCCTTCTAGGCCTCCAGGCCTGTGATGGGAGGGGCTGTCATGAAGACCTCTGACATGCCCTGGAGACATTTTCCCCATTGTCTTGGGGATTAACATTCAGCTCCCCATTGCTCATGCAAATTTCTGTAGATGGCTTGAATTGTTCCTCGGAAAATGGGATTTTCTTTTCTATTGCATTGTCAGGCTGGTAATTTTATGAACTTTATGCCATGCTTCCCTTATAAAACTGAATGCGTTTAACAGCACCCAAGTCACTTCTTGAATGTTTTGCTGCTTAGAATTTTTTTCCTCCAGATACCCTAAATCATCTCTTCCAAGTTCAATATTCCATAAATTTCTAGGGTAGGGGCAAAATGCTGCCAGTCTCTTTGCTAAAACATAACAGGACTCACTTTTGCTCCAGTTCCGAACAAGTTCCTCATTTCCATCTGAGACCAACTCAGCCTGGAGTTTATTGTCCATATCACTATCAACATTTTTGGCAAAGCCATTCAACAAGTCTCTAGGAAGTTCCAAACTTTCCTATATTTTCCTGTCTTCTTCTGAACCCTCCAAACTGTTCCAACCTCTGCCTGTTACCCCGTTCCAAAGTCACTTCCACATTTTCAGGTATCTTTTCTGTAGCACCTCACTTCTGGTACCAATTTACTGTATTAGTCCATTTTCATGCTGCTGATAAAGACATACTTGAGACTGGGCAATTTACACAAGAAAGAGGTTTAATGGACTTACAGTTCCATGTGGCTAGGAAGGCCTCAAAATCATGGCAGAAGGCAAAAGGCACTTTTTACATGGCAGTGGCAAGAGAAAGAATGAAAGCTAAATGAAACGGCTTTCTACTTATCAAACCATCAGATTTCGTAAGACATATTAACTACCAAGAGAACAGTATGGGAGAAACCTCAGCCATGATTCGATTATCTCCCATTGGGTCCCGCCCACAACACATGGGAATTATGGGAGTACAATTCAAGATGAGATGTGGTGGGGACATAGAGCCAAACCATATCAGTCTTCTTCACTGAATTTCAGCTGCGTGAAGAACTTTTTATGGCTTGAATATAATTGTTTCTCTATCACTTAGAATATTTGCTGGCAAATACTAGGTATTCGTGAAATCTTTTTGAATAAATAATTAGAGGTTAATATATATTTGTATTCTAGATAGTATATATGATTTATATATTATCTATGTATTAAATATTATACATAATATATAATATATATTACATATACATTATATAATGTATGTGTATATTTTATACATACATGAGTGTATACACACACTTCCACATAAATTTGAAAATTACATTAGAACAGTGATGGTAGGTGTTTTAGTTTTATGCTCCCTTAACCTAGTACAATATCTGATTCTTGGTAAATAGTAGTTGAATACAATGAAACATCAGTGGCATCCTATTCATAAGATTAATCAGTTCGTTATATCATTGTTTATAAATCTAGTGTGAAATGTAGTAAATATCTACTAGCTCAAAATATTTAAATTACTGAAACTGGATATAATAAAAATATTAAAGCCACTTAAAACTTTAAAATAAACTATATTATGCATTCGTAGTTCTATTTATATGTCCATTTTTCATAATTTTCTTCTAGGGGGGAGGGGCCAAGATGGCCGAATAGAAACAGCTCTGGTCTACAGCTCCCAGCGTGAGCAACTCAGAAGATGGGTGATTTCTGCATTTGCAACTGAGGTACCGGGTTCATCTCACTAGGGAGTGCCAGACAGTGGGCGCAGGTCACTGGGTGCGCGTACCGTGTGCGAGCCGAAGCAGGGCGAGGCATTGCCTCACTTGGGAAGCACAAAGGGTCAGGGAGTTCCCTTTCTGAGTCAAAGAAAGGGGTGACGGAGGGCACCTGGAAAATCGGGTCACTCCCACCCGAATACTGCGCTTTTCCGACGGGCTTAAAAAACGGCGCACCACGAGATTATATCCCGCACCTGGCACGGAGGGTCCTACGCCCACGGAGTCTTGCTGATTGCTAGCACAGCAGTCTGAGATCAAACTGCAAGGTGGCAGCGAGGCTGGGGGAGGGGCGCCCGCCATCGCCCAGGCTTGATTAGGTAAACAAAGCAGCCGGGAAGCTCCAACTGGGTGGAGCACACCACAGCTCAAGGAGGCCTGCCTCTGTAGGCTCCACCTCTGGGGGCAGGGCACAGACAAACAAAAAGACAGCAGTAACCTCTGCAGACTTAAATGTCCCTGTCTGACAGCTTTGAAGAGAGCAGTGGTTCTCCCAGCACCCAGCTGGAGATCTGAGAACGGGCAGACTGCCTCCTCAAGTGGGTCCCTGACCCCTGACCCCTGAGCAGCCTAACTGGGAGGCACCCCCCAGCAGGAGCACACTGACACCTCACACGGCAGGATATTCCAACAGACCTGCAGCTGAGGGTCCTGTCTGTTAGAAGGAAAACTAACTAACAGAAAGGACATCCACACCAAAAGCCCACCTGTACATCACCATCATCAAAGACCAAAAGTAGATAAAACCACAAAGATGGGGAAAAAACAGAACAGAAAAACTGGAAACTCTAAAAAGCAGAGCGCCTCTCCTCCTCCAAAGGAACGCAGTTCCTCACCAGCAACGGAACAAAGCTGGATGGAGAATGACTTTGACGAGCTGAGAGAAGAAGGCTTCAGACGATCATATTACTCTGAGCTACGGGAGGACATTCAAACCAAAGGCAAAGAAGTTGAAAACTTTGAAAAAAATTTAGAAGAATGTATAACTAGAATAACCAATACAGAGAAGTGCTTACAGGAGCTGATGGAGCTGAAAACCAAGGCTCAAGAACTACGTGAAGAATGCAGAAGCCTCAGGAGCCGATGCAATCAACTGGAAGAAAGGGTATCAGCAATGGAAGATGAAATGAATGAAATGAAGCGAGAAGGGAAGTTTAGAGAAAAAAGAATAAAAAGAAATGAGCAAAGCCTCCAAGAAATATGGGACTATGTGGAAAGATCAAATCTATGTCTGATTGGTGTACCTGAAAGTGATGGGGAGAATGGAACCAAGTTGGAAAACACTCTGCAGGATATTATCCAGGAGAACTTCCCAATCTAGCAAGGCAGGCCAACGTTCAGATTCAGGAAATACAGAGAACGCCACAAAGATACTCCTCGAGAAGAGCAACTCCAAGACACATAATTGTCAGATTCACCAAAGTTGAAATGAAGGAAAAAATGTTAAGGGCAGCCAGAGAGAAAGGTCGGGTTACCCTCAAAGGGAAGCCCATCAGACTAACAGCAGATCTCTCGGCAGAAATCCTACAAGCCAGAAGAGAGTGGGGGCCAATATTCAACATTCTTAAAGAAAAGAATTTTCAACCCAGAATTTCATATCCAGCCAAACTAAGCTTCGTAAGTGAGGGAGAAATAAAATACTTTACAGACAAGCAAATGCTGAGAGATTTTGTCACCACCAGGCCTGCCCTAAAAGAGCTCCTGAAGGAAGCGCTGAACATGGAAAGGAACAACCAGTACCAGCCGCTGCAAAATCATGCCAAAATGTAAAGGTCATCAAGACTAGGTAGAAACTGCATCAACTAATGAGCAAAATAACCAGCTAACATCATAATGACAGGATCAAATTCACACATAACACTATTAACTTTAAATGTAAATGGACTAAATGCTCCAATTAAAAGACACAGACTGGCAAATTGGATAAAGAGTCAAGACCCATCAGTGTGCTGTATTCAGGAAACCCATCTCACATGCAGAGACACACATAGGCTCAAAATAAAAGGATGGAGGAAGATCTACCAAGCAAATGGAAAACAAAAAAAGGCAGGGGTTGCAATCCTAGTCTCTGATAAAACAGAGTTTAAACCAACAAAGATCAAAAGAGACAAAGAAGGCCATTACATAATGGTAAAGGGATCAATTCAGCAAGAAGAGCTAACTATCCTAAATATATATGCACCCAATACAGGAGCACCAAGATTCATAAAGCAAGTCCTGAGTGACCTACAAAGAGACTTAGACTCCCACACATTAATAATGGGAGACTTTAACACCCCACTGTCTACATTAGACAGATCAATGAGACAGAAAGTCAACAAGGATACCCAGGAATTGAACTCAGCTCTGCACCAAGCGGACCTAATAAACATCTACAGAACTCTCCCCCCCAAATCAACAGAATATACATTTTTTTCAGCACACCACACCTATTCCAAAATTGACCACATACTTGGAAGTAAAGCTCTCCTCAGCAAATGTAAAAGAACACAAATTATAACAAACTATCTCTCAGACCACAGTGCAATCAAACTAGAACTCAGGATTAAGAATCTCACTCAAAACCACTCAACTACATGGAAACTGAACAACCTGCTCCTGAATGACTACTGGGTACATAACAAAATGAAGGCAGAAATAAAGATGTTCTTTGAAACCAACGAGAACAAAGACACAACATACCAGAATCTCTGGGACGCATTCAAAGCAGTGTGTAGAGGGAAATTTATTGCACTAAATGCCCACAAGAGAAAGCAGGAAAGATCCAAAATTGACACCCTAACATCACAATTAAAAGAACTAGAAAAGCAAGAGCAAACACATTCAAGAGCTAGCAGAAGGCAAGAAATAACTAAAATCAGAGCAGAACTGAAGGAAATAGAGACACTAAAAACCCTTCAAAAAATTAATGAATCCAGGAGCTGGTTTTTTGAAAGGATCAACAAAATTGATAGACTGCTAGCAAGACTAATAAAGAAGAAAAGAGAGAGGAATCAAATAGATGCAATAAAAAATGATAAGGGGGATATCACCACCGATCCCACAGAAATACAAACTACCATCAGAGAATACTACAAACACCTCTACTCAAATAAACTGGAAAATCTAGAAGAAATGGATAAATTCCTTGACACAAACACTCTCCCAAGACTAAACCAGGAAGAAATTGAATCTCTGAATAGACCAATAACAGGATCTGAAATTGTGGCAATAATCAATAGCTTACCAACCAAAAAGAGTCCAGGACCAGATGGATTCACAGCCAAATTCTACCAGAGCTACAAGGAGGAACTGGTACCATTCCTTCTGAAACTATTCCAATCAATAGAAAAAGAGGGAATCCTCCCTAACTCATTTTATGAGGCCATCATCATTCTGATACCAAAGCCAGGCAGAGACACAACCAAAAAAGAGAATTTTAGACCAATATCCTTGATGAACATTGATGCAAAAATCCTCAATAAAATACTGGCAAACCGAATCCAGCAGCACATCAAAAAGCTTATCCACCATGATCAAGTGGGCTTCATCCCTGGGATGCAAGGCTGGTTCAATATATGCAAATCAATAAATGTAATCCAGCATATAAACAGAGCCAAAGACAAAAACCACATGATTATCTCAATAGATGCAGAAAAAGCCTTTGACAAAATTCAACAACCCTTCATGGTAAAAACTCTCAATAAATTAGGTACTGATGGGACGTATTTCAAAATAATAAGAGCTATCTATGACAGACCCACAGCCAATATCATACTGAATGGGCAAAAACTGGAAGCATTCCCTTTGAAAACTGGCACAAGACAGGGATGCCCTCTCTCACCACTCCTAGTCAACATAGTGTTGGAAGTTCTGGCCAGGGCAATTAGGCAGGAGAAGGAAACAAAGGGTATTCAATTAGGAAAAGAGGAAGTCAAATTGTCCCTGTTTGCAGATGACATGATTGTATATCTAGAAAACCCCATTGTCTCAGCCCAAAATCTCCTTAAGCTGATAAGCAACTTCAGCAAAGTCTCAGGATACAAAATCAATGTACAAAAATCAGAAACATTCTTATACACCAATAACAGACAAACAGAGAGCCAAATCATGAGTGAACTCCCATTCACAATTGCTTCAAAGAGAATAAAATACCTAGGAATCCAACTTACAAGGGACGTGAAGAACCTCTTCCAGGAGAACTACAAACCACTGCTCAAGGAAATAAAAGAGGATACAAACAAATGGAAGAACATTCCATGCTCATGGGTAGGAAGAATCAGTATCATGAAAATGGCCATACTGCCCAAGGTAATTTACAGATTCAATGCCATCCCCATCAAGCTACCAATGACTTTCTTCACAGAATTGGAAAAAACTACTTTAAAGTTCATATGGAACCAAAAAAGAGCCCGCATCGCCAAGTCAATCCTAAGCCAAAAGAACAAAGCTGGAGGCATCACACTACCTGACTTCAAACTATACTACAAGGCTACAGTAACCAAAACAGCATGGTACTGGTACCAAAACAGAGATATAGATCAATGGAACAGAACAGAGCCCTCAGAAATAACGCCGCATATCTACAACTATCTGATCTTTGACAAACCTGAGAAAAACAAGCAATGGGGAAAGGATTCCCTATTTAATAAATGGTGCTGGGAAAACTGGCTAGCCATATGTAGAAAGCTGAAACTGGATCCCTTCCTTACACCTTATACAAAAATCAATTCAAGATGGATTAAAGACTTAAACGTTAGACCTAAAACCATAAAAACCCTAGAAGAAAACCTAGGCATTACCATTCAGGACATAGGCATGGGCAAGGACTTCATGTCTAAAACACCAAAAGCAATGGCAACAGAAGCCGAAATTGACAAGTGGGATCTAATTAAACTAAAGAGCTTCTTCACAGCAAAAGAAACTACCATCAGAGTGAACAGGCAACCTACAAAATGGGAGAAAATTTTTGCAACCTACTCATCTGACAAAGGACTAATATCCAGAATCTACAAAGAACTCAAACAAATTTACAAGAAAAAAAAAACAACCCCATCAAAAAGTGGGCCAAGGACATGAACAGACACTTCTCAAAAGAAGACATTAATGCAGCCAAAAGACACATGAAAAAATGCTCATCATCACTGGCCATCAGAGAAATGCAAATCAAAACCACAATGAGATACCATCTCACACCAGTTAGAATGGCAATCATTAAAAAGCCAGGAAACAACAGATGCTGGAGAGGATGTGGAGAAATAGGAACACTTTTACACTGTTGGTGGGACTGTAAACTAGTTCAACCATTGTGGAAGTCAGTGTGGCGATTCCTCAGGGATCTAGAACTGGAAATACCATTTGACCCAGCCATCCCATTACTGGGTATATACCGAAAGGACTAGAAATCATGCTGCTATAGACACATATGTTTATTGCGGCACTATTCACAATAGCAAAGACTTGGAACCAACCCAAATGTCCAACAATGATAGACTGGATTAAGAAAATGTGGCACATAGACACCATGGAATACTATGCAGCCATAAAAAATGATGAGTTCATGTCCTTTGTAGGGACATGGATGAAATTGGAAATCATCATTCTCAGTAAACTATCGCAAGAACAAAAAACCAAACACCGCATATTCTCACTCATAGGTGGGAATTGAACAATGAGAACACATGGACACAGGAAGGGGAACATCACACTCTGGGGACTGTTGTGGGGTGGGGGGAGGCGGGAGGGATAGCATAGGGAGATATACCTAATGCTAGATGACGAGTTAGTGGGCGCAGCGCACCAGCATGGCACATGTATACATATGTAACTAACCTGCGCAATGTGCACATGTACCCTAAAACTTAAAGTATAATAATAAAAAAAAAATTTTTCTTCTAAAAGTATTTGTGTACTGATACACAAAACAAAAGCTCTAAACTTAATTCAACAATTGCCTTTTGCATGAACTTTTTTCATATTATTTACATTTAAATAAGTATAATTAGATTTTTATCAAAATGTATTGTTATAAACCCATTGTACTGTTTTAAAACTCCAACACCAAGTAAGGGTTTGTTTACCAAACAAGTGTTATTGATTTCTTGCTGAAACCACCTTTGCAAAAATTATGTCAGATAATCATGGTGGTTGAGGAGATCTGATCTAGCCAGCCACCATCTTGCCTTTCGCCTTCAAACTGCTTTAAGTAATCATGGGCTTAGGCCAGCTAACTTTGGGAGACATTTAGTTTATAGTTTAAATGACAGTAGCCATTTCCCAAAACTCAGCTGCCTTTGTAAAGCTAATGAGAGATCACAAAGCTAGGGTTAGGAGAGAAGCCTGAATTATGCTAAGGAGTAGACCCAGAAACCATTGTTAGGCATTATCCTGGAGGTCATAAGATATGCAACTTCCCCAATTTCCCTTGCAGATAACATCACTATTGTAGAACCTAAGATTGGCCTTTCAAGATATTTTTTCTGTTTTTTTTTTTTTTTCATGTCTGATCACTGATGGCTCCACCTTCACCTGCCAATCACTCCTGTGGTCCCACCCAGAAGTGACTCAGCCAAAGAGGCCAGCTTCGACTTCCCTATGATTCCATCTTTGACCCAATCAGAACCGCCATTACCCTAGCTCCCTGCCCACCAAGCTGTCTTTGAAAAACTCCTACCCTCAAAACCTCTAGGTGACTTATTTGAGCAATAACTCTATCTCCCATTTGACATGATTAGCCTTGCATCAGTTAAACTCTTTTTTACTGCAATGCCATGGTATTTGTGCAGTGGACAGAGAGAACCCATCAGGCAGTTACATTGCATTATTATACTTTTTTAGGAGCATAGAAATAATTCAAGCACACAGTTGAGATTGGTTTAATGAATCTAATGCTAATGAACAAAGGTTATTTTTAAAAAAACAGTTTTTGTGATATTAAACCATGAGATGATAAGTAAATATCAAAACACACATATTTTTAATAAATTAAGAGATACCCAAAATTCAAGAGATAAAAGCAAGCATTCGTCAATCCAGCTCAGTGATTGAGAATAATTATTTTTTTCAAATTATATATCATAATCTGTTTTTTTATTTTAACAAGCAATTACTATGCAAAAATAAAAATGGAATTTTAGCATTAATACAGCCTTTGAATTCCCCTGAGGACTGAAGGGTTTAGTAATAATACAAAGTGCTTAGCATTTATGAAAGAGATTAAAGCTGTGATGAAATTAATGTAGAAATGGTCAATGGCCAGGTCATGTAGGACAGCAGAATTCTAATCCACCATGTCTGCAGCAACCTGGCCAGGAAGCCAAACCCCAACTACAGCAATTGGCCCCAAAGCATCCAAACTGGATCAATGATTGCTACTTCTCTTTACCTCAGTTTCAAGACAGCACCAACTACAGAAAGCCAAATATGTTTTCCAAAGCAATCACCTGTCAATGAAGAGTCAAACTCTGTAAAATATCTGAAGACATTTATTGTGAGCCAAATATGAGTGTCCATGGTCCGTGACACAGCACTCAGGAGATTGTGAGAACATGTACTCAAGGTGGTCAGGGCACAACTTGGTTTTATACATTTTAGGGAGATATAAGGCATCAATTAATACTTGTAAGATGTATATTGGTTCAGTTAGGAAAGTTGGAAAAACTCTAAGTGGGAGCTTCCAAGTCACAGGCAGCTTCAAAGATTTTCTGATTGGCAATTGGTTGAAAGAGCTATTATCAATAGAAAGGTATGTCTGGGTTATACTAAGGATTTGTGGACACCAAGGTTTTATCTTCCAGATGTAGTGTCCATGTAGCAGGTTTCAGAGAGAGTAGATTAAAAATGATTTTTATCAGACTTAAAGATTCTCTTCTATCAGTGACTCCAAAAGGGAGAAGGGTATATATAAATGAGGCATCTCTATTCCCCTCCACGTTGTGGCCTGAACTATTTTTTCATGTTAACTTAGGAATGCCCTTGCTGAGAGGAGAGATCCATTCAGATGGTTGCAGGGGCTCAGAATTTTGTTTTTGGTTTACATGCCTAAGATGTTCTGCTGCTCATTTCCAGCTTTTCCATGACAAGAATCTCGAGTGAAAGCATACCTGGAATCGTCCCTTTTTCTCTACAGAGCTCCCTCACTCCCCTGTCTCCTTTGAGTCTGTAGCAAATGCAAGTGAGAATGGTGGCAACTCTTCTAAATTTGATTTCTGAATCTTCTGTTTGTTTTCATTTTAGTCATCTTTGTTTATTTTTTACCAAACTCATAAGTAGAGACTTTTAAATCAACTACATCTAAAAAACAAAATGTGTCAGTTTAAAATATTATTTTTAGTATTTTTATTGTAGGTTACATGACTGTGCTTAGTGTATTTAAAAAAGAATTAAATATTTCTTGTCGAACACAAAAGAATTTTTCAAATATACCAAATAAAATTAGTAAAATGAAATCTTTTAGGTTTTCTCAAAATATAAATGTCATAAAACATTGTTTTTCATTAAAAATAAAAATCTGATTTTGTTGGTACTCAACTCAAAATCTTCACATGGCTTTTTTTAGAACTTTATTAAAATATTTATTTTTCCCATCTGTGGCTGGAGATAGATATATACACATCTGGTGAGAATAAAAGGAATTCTGATAATACTAGCCTGAAGTATAAAGTATATCAAGTTTTTCTCCAGTCTCATCTCATATAGCTTTCTGCTTATTAAATATTGTATTCTGTAGTCATATTGAAGTATTCACAATTTTTGGCATATCTATTTTGATTCCTGTAATTCAATTTAATTCAATAAATAAGTCCTTAATTGATAACACGCCCAGTGCCAAAATCCAAAGACAATATCCCTTTTGTGGAATTGACATCCTGATGGAGTGGACATTTTCTCTGACTGGGTTACTCTCCCTAACTGAAAAATCCCTGTATTATTATGTTTTTACTCCAGTTCCTCTCCTCAACTAAGGCTTTCTTAAAACATCCAGGCAACAGTAATTGTTTCCTGTTCTGAGTTTCCAGAACTACATCTATATATCTCTTCTATAGCCATCAGTTTGCATTATACACTGTCCTATCACTGTTTATGGTAATTTTTGCTAACATCTATTAAGTTCTTTCAGTGGACAATACATCATGCTGCACTTTACGCTCATTATCTTAACAAATTCCATCCCTAATTTATAGTGTGCATTCTTATTATCACCATTTATACAAGAGTAAATTGAGGAATACAGAGGTTTATTAATTTGGCCAAAAAAAAGTGTGTCTCCCAAAAATTTGTATGTTGAAATGCTAACCTCCAAAGTAATAATAATAGGAGATGGACCTTTTTGGGAGGTGACTGGGTCATGAGGACAGAGGTCTCATGAATGGGATTAGTGCCCTTATTAAAGAATCTGATAAAAACCTATAGCCCTTCTACCATGAAAGAACATAAAAGAAGGCACCCTCTATGAACACCTATGAAATTGACTTTCACTAGACCTTAAACCTACCTGTGCCTTGATCTCGGACTTCTTTTCATTCACCAGAACTGTGATAAATAAATTTCTGCTGTTTATAAGCCACCCAATTTATGATATTTTGTCATAGCAGCCCAATGGAACTAGAGCACCAACTATTTTGACCTTTAGCAACACACATTTGAAAAATAAAGACATTTCTTTCATTTTGGTTTGGCACTGGTTTGGTTGTTAAAAATGTGTCCAAAACCATCTTGTAGTTGGATGTCATTGTATCTGTTATCTTCATTTCCTTTTTCATAATGAAAAGATTATCTGTTTTTCATTATTTTGATTGAGTTATCAAAATCTATATTGCATTGGCTAATTCAGATTTTAGATCAGTTTCTGATTTCATTTTGGAGCATTAGACAACAAAATTTTTTACCTTCTTTTTGCATTTTTTTTTTGGCGTATTTACAAAAAAATGATATTGATAGCAAATTTGAAGAAACCCACTGAAAAATGTCAGAACATTTTTGAGTGGCTGGATGACATTTAATTGGGTAGCATATAAACAACTTAACATTCACAATTTCTAGCACAGTTAACAACACCTCACAAAATCATTTGTCAAAATTGCCAATTTAAAGACTGGGTGACAGAGCCAGACTCCATCTCAAAAAAGAAATTTAACAGATTCTAAAGATTATGATAAAATAGGCCAAATTATAGGCACCCATCTAATCAACTGGTAACTTCCACAACCCTCTAGTTCCACATCATAGTTTTAGGGAGAAGGAATTACCCAAATATCAAAGCTTAGGGAATTCTTAAATAAAAATGACCTATCATATTTTTTTCCCTGATAATTACATCTACATGTATTAAACATTATTAAAAATGATATGCATTGTTTGTGATGGCCGTTTTGTGTTTCCATTTTTATTTTCAGAATTGAATTGCTGCCAGCTCTGTGTCCCATTCAGATCTTGTTACCCATATAACATCTGAGCAGTGACATTGTGCCTCCACAAGGTATCACAGGAAGAGATAGTGACTAGAATTACGTAGGACTAGTCTCATGGGAAGATACTGTGCTTGAAAAAAGAAGTGTTCATATTCTCTATATTTTGATATATTAAATCTTATTGAAAATTTATAGGCAAACTCTAATCATGTATATTGATTATAACAAAGCTATCATAAACAAAAGCAATGACTTCAAAGTATTTGAATTAAAGCAGCAGGAGGATAGCATCCAAAAATTTCCAAAGGAAAATGAATTAAGAAAATTATTCTGGTGTGTCATGTGCCACTGTATTGGATATAAGCAGCCATATCTTGTCATCTTCTTGGGAACACAATTTGAGTCTTAAAGTCCTAGGCTTCTGGAGGTTTTTTATTAAATGGTGTTAATTTGAGCTCACTCATGAGTGTAAAATTCCACTGGTGTACAGGTTAGTAGTATGCCTGCACTGTTTTGAATCTTGACTGCTATTGCTATGCTCAGAAGGATATAAAATGTTCTCTTCAAGCAAGGATAAACAACTTTTGTATTACTATTAGTCTCTCTTCCAGTAGATCCAGTTTCCATGCTGGAAATCATGCAATGTTTGGAAGGTGGCTTGTACTTGCTAAATCTAATTATAAGTATAACAAGTAAGTCCTTGACTGCATTTAGCTACATCTATGTGTAACATGAAGCCAGTTACTGGTAAAATTTTTCTAAATATTACAAATTCCGTGAAATGTTTTGATACGATCTCACAGGGAGAAAGTTGCTTTGTACTCTGAGATTTTTTCCATGACCACTAATGTTAGTGAAAAAATTTTAGGCCAAGACAGAGAAGCAAATTCTTATAGTTTGGACGATTTTAACTTTAGCATCATGTTTACTGTTACTAATTTTCCTAATAACTGGGGGTGATATAAACAGTGAACTAATTTCTTCAGTAAGAGAAGAAGGTTGATGGGCTCTTTCTGTGTAGGGAATAAAGAGTGTAGTATTTAGTTTGGTGCAAAATTGATTGCAGTCTTTGACATTACTTTTGCACCAACCTAAATAGTATTTTTGTCACTTCATCAACTATAGCCCTCTATCAATGAAAATATCATAGCTAACCAGAAACTTTATAAACAAGAACTTTATAAAATATACTCATAAATATTTGGGCTGTTGCATGAAATTCATTTGTAAATAAATGCTTGATAAGACTTTGAGGAGGAAGCCCTGAACAATTTTTCATCTTTACATAGTCTCAGGATTTTGCTGCTTATAGATGAGCCATGTAGAAACTATCTTTTTAATTATATAAAGAGCAATAAAGAAGCAATTTGACCTGGAAATGTAATGTTTCTAGGAAGCCAGGATAAAATCACCAGTATCCATCATTAAAGACGGAGAAGTCCTCTGATAGTGGATATATATTTTTTCAGAATTTTGAGCTGATTGCTTTGAGTCAATCACAATTTTATCAATTTATTAGCACTTAATATATTGGGTGGGTAAATGCCACATTTACCAACGGAATAAGACAAGCCATTGCCCTTAGCTTCAGGAGTGGTCTCTAATATGGAGTACTAGTTTATTTACAGATAGCACTTTGCTGCATTGAATAGCTTTTTAAACTGCACTGTTATTTACCATTTTCAATAGACCTGTGTATTTCAGCCATATATTGTCAAATAGCACAAAACTCGGAAAGCACATCTACTATTTGCATAAGGGTTTACTTTTTAAGCTTTTTCCAGAGTTCATGCTCAAATTGGAGATGTTGAGTTTAGTTACCTGAGCAGATTAAGGGTTAAGAATAGAACTTCTTTGATAACTTCAAGTTCAGTGGTAACAGCATATCCCACATAACGAACGCCTTCACCATTTCTAAGATAAGAGCCATATCAAACAATATTAATTTAGTATTGAATAAGAGGGATCTGTACAATCATAATTGAACATTCTTAATTCTTGAGTTACTACTAAATAGACATTTGGTTCTCCACGTAGAAGAAGTAAACTCGCAGGATTAAGATTTTAACAAAGTTTAATGGTAGTACAAACAATAAAAACTTTTCATGAGTCTTCATGTGGTAAATTAAGAATTAACCAGAGTTATCTGCATGTGGAACCTGTCAAGTTAGCACAGAGCAGTTTGGCCGCCACTGATACTTCACACAAGCAGAAATCTATGCTTTACCCTTTTGAGTGGAGGGTTAGGCTAAAAGCATGGGTCTGGTATAAAACTACTTTACCATGTTAGTAGTCCTAATTCACAATCTCCTCTTTCATAAACAAAAAGACAGAAGGACTTAGCATAATTAGGGATACCCAAAGTTGGAGGCTGCTGCAGACAGGTCCTTAAAGAAAAGGAACTGTTTTCCTTTCCTATCCCATGGGAGATACCAGTATTAGTAAACACATGTGAAGGCTGATGTATTTTAGGGGAAAAGGCATTATTGCCTACATAAAGCAGTCAATCCTAAAATATAAAATGAAAAAGCTTTTAGTTGTTTTTAATTTGGAGTCAATGTAGTCAAATAAGCTTATTCTCACAGAGTAGAATACATGTCTGATGAGATCACAACCTAAATATTGCATAATTTCTTCACAGATTTGCAAGTTTTCTCTAGGTGCTTTCTGTTCCTCTTCAGTTAATCTTCTTGAGCGATATATGGAGTTCTCCTGTGGACTCCTTCAAGGAGCACAGCACTAAATCATCTACATTTCATTCCAGGGTGTATTTTCAAGCAAGAGTCAAATCTGTGATTATTATTTAGACATCGGGAGAAATATAAGGGTGTTTTCATAAATACCAGAGGCATAACCAACTAGGGAGATTGCTGATTGTCCCAGAAAAGAGTAAATAAATACTGACTGCCCTTACCTACTAGTTCCTAAATAAGACTGCAAATAAATCTGCCATCTTAAAGTGTTTACTTGGTAGTTAGAAGCTTCGGGAAATCTAGGGATCACAGTTCTATTGATTGCCCTGAGGCCTTGTACACATAAGTAGCCTTTTACACTAAGCTGCTTAACTGGCAATATGGGAGTACCGCAAGGACTGATGCCTGACACAGTGAGTCCTCAATAATAGGTCTTCTTCCTGAGGTTGCTTGAGGTCTCAAAACACACTGAAATATAATTCGGCTAAGGGCTTATACGGAATAATTTTAATTTTAATAAAGTAAGCTCCATGTATTCTGCTCAGTTTAATAAAATCTTTGGCCCAAAGAGTAGAGGGTAACTAATCTAATATTTGATTTGTAGAGGTCATTGGGTGCACAGAAACTGGGGTATACATGAGTGCTATAAATTGGTTTACGCAGCCTATTCCTTTGGGATCTCTAGATATCTACCAGCTTAAAAAGATTTAATTTGACAGTTTTGACCTAATAAATTTTGTTGGAGCAGTGTTGCAAAATAGAAAGTCATGTTCTTCCTCCAATTATTTGCTTCAAATTGTTAAGGTTGTGAGGCTGCTAGGATCATAGGTTCATTTGAGATGTCCACTGCCTCTACTCTATTTGTATCTTAAAGGAATATTTTGGCATAAGTCACAAAATTTATTCTGAAAGAGAAGCCACTGTATCTGTTAGAAATGTGCCAGCCTTTCCTGAGCAATCATATTAATTTCATTTTAATTGTCTAGAAAAATCAGTAAATATATTAATTTGATCCGGATCCATATAGATGGGGCATTGTTGAATCTCTAAGTTGGCTCATTAGACCCCCTTTTTAGTTTCTGAGGAGCAGTAAATTTTTTAGTGTTCATATTTTCCACTCAAGTTCTCCATACCAGTCTACTTCTGGTCTTTGCTTTGTTAATATAAATTATGCCAAATATTTTGGCCAAATCTACTTTCATAAAGAAGACATTTAGGATGCCCTGAGGCTAACCTATTTCTTTAGTGTTCTACACATTTTCTTCTGACTTGTGACACGCTAATATTCTTCAATTGAGTTTCAGTTTGCTCTTTGGAACCATCTGTAACCTTCTGATGGTGAGACTATTATATTTATAGGTGGATAAAACTCTAACAGAACTGGACTTTAGCAGTAGAAAATATTTTAATTCCAGGAAATGTGCTGGGTCTCATAGGCTTGAAGAATCATTTTACTGTAACATGGAGCTTCACTTGTGACCAATTTTCAAAAACAATGGCATAAACTTTCCCTGGAGGGTGGGAATAAAATCTTAGTGGGGATTGTGAGATAATTTTTCCTTTACTGAGATTAAGCTCAACAATGAGGAAGAATATGGGGCTAACAGACACAATGAAAGGAGGAGTTTGGAAAACCCCATGAGGATGATATTGGGAGAATATTGCAAAGTTTAGTCTTCTAAACAGTCAGAATATTATAACTTTGCAGGATATAGTGGAAGTAGACTGTAAGGTCTAGGAAGACAGAAATGGAGAGAGGGAGAGAAAAATAAGTGGTACAGTCATAAATGGTTAACTTGATAATTAGCTAGCCTTTTGCTTAGTATTTACTACAGGATTCTTTGAAAAAGTTAATTTTGAGTTATGAAAACACTTAAATCCTTTGACCCACACTCAAATAAAGAGCTCATGAAAGATAGAGGCTTACTTTCTTTTTGTCCTAAGATGCAAGAGAAGTGTAAGACCTTGTGGAAAAATGAACATTATTCAAAATTCAATTCTAAACATTTTTAGATGTATGTGTGCGATTTTATTAGCTATGTACATGAATCTGACATGCAGCAAACATAAGACATAGGGATCCTGGTGTGTGGTAGGGTTTGATTTTTTGAATTGACAGAATGTTATTATAAACAACAAAAAGGAGATTACATCAATTGTTGCTAGACACCTGTAAACAAGGCACTCTCCTCACTCCACAGTTTGGGTTGGGCTACTGGTCTGATTTACAAGATGCTGATTCCAAGTAATGGAATAGCTTATATTCCAAACAATGAGCTATCTGAGAAACTCCTTGACAATACACAGATCCACTAACAGAACAGATCAGACATTGCAGAGATTCCCTCTCTTTGTGGCATTCAAAGGAGAAACTATTACTTCTCTGTATTCAAGCATGAAGAGACCAGAAGGCTGTGAATCAAAATGAACAGAAACTCGTAAGAAAGAACAAGAAAAAACTCAGTGAGAGCCAAAATTAATGTAGTAACTATAATGTACTCAGTCAAACAAGCCAATAAAAAGTTGAAATCAAGATTCGATGGGCCTATGAGGTATTTCGTTCAAGAGTCACTGGTTAATTTACTTCAAGAGGTATTGTGATCAAGTAATTTTGGTGGCATTTCTAGAATGTTAAAGAGTATGAAGACTAAAAGCATTGCTACCAACAATATAAGCTGATACAACAGAGAGTCTAGGTACGTTCTCAGGAATAAGATAAGTAAAGTAAAAGAGAAGTTGATCTTCAAAAGCCAAAGACTCATATTAAGAAGTATACTGATTGGTCCGCAAAATCTAGATTTGTTGGTTGTGAGAGCACTGCACTGGTAGAAAGTGTTCTGTCTGTCTCAAGATTATAAATACCTTTGCTGGATACTGAAGTTTCCATCTTGAGATCATGGCTTTCAGCTTTCTCTTCACATGCCCAGTTCACAGTTATTTCACCCAGTTGAATCTGCATCAATGTAAACAGGGTATGTGGCCAGATCAAGAATTTTCAATCAGGTCTACAACGGTATCAGACAGCCCGATGGTCAGTTTGAGGACTCAGTCAAGACACTTTTATACTCACTTAACAAAAATCTTTACTTAGTATTATTATAAACAATGACGTATAATATAATTGGAAGTCTAGGAGTAGGTCTGATTCCAGGGATGTCTGAGCAGTAGCTTAATAATGTCATCTAAGACTGAAGCCCTTCTAGTCTATGTGTTCTCTGATAGCATTATCACACAGGGGTTAAGAGAATAGGTTCACAAGTACAACTGCTTGCCTTGCTTGAACTCTCTTACTAATATACCATACAGAGCCCAGTACCTACTGCTAGTAAAACACACACACACACACACACACACCCCATAGAAAAGTACCTTAAACTAAATATTAGTTGTTATTCCATCTTATTTGCTTTAACATTTTGTTGTAGTAAGATGAATACCGATGCCATATACAATTTGTTCGTCCTATTCATCATTCCATATGTACATAGTGTGACTCTGTGCTAAGTCCTGTTCCATGCCACAGAAGGAAAGAAACACTTCATCATAGAAAATGAATTATTGGTCTTTCCATTTAATTAAGTAAAGTAGATGAATATGCAATGAAAGAAAGAAACCTGAACAAGAGAGGCATTCTAGTAGGAGAGAGAAAGGTAGAAAAGAAGGTTGGGAAGGCAAAACATATTCACCACACATATAAAAATTAACACATAAGTTACAAGGATATAAAAATAAAATCAGAAGTTACACTATGCCATTAATATATCTAACATCTGTAAAAGTGAAATGGGAGAGGTCCCTGATCCCCCTCGCAGGACATGTGACAAGGGTGTGGCTCATCTGTTTGCCTGCCATGCCCTCAAACCCCTTACAGGAGGGGGAGCATGCAGACAGGCAGGTGTAGGAGTAAGGGTGAGCACTTTTGGCTCCGGCCCCACGGTAGCATCTAGGGGTGGGTGACTGCAACTCCCAAAGCCCTAGTGTGCACATTACAGTGCTCTTGTAGCTCTGCCATCTGCAGATGGCTTAAGTGTTAACCAGCTCAATGCCCCCCTGCCAGGTTCTTGTCCGGCATCCAGGAAGAATCAGGTCACAGGGACAAATTGAAAGATGGTAAATGCGGGGGTTTTATTGCTGGATGGAGGTGGCTCTCAGTGGGATGGATGGGGAGCTGGAGGGGGATGGAGTAGGAAGATAATCTTCCCCTGGAGTTTGGCCATCCCATGGCTGATCTCCTCCCTGACTGTCCCCAGATGAACTTTCGACGTTCACATGTTCCTTCTCTTCTCTCCTCTGCCACACAGCTCTTCTGCTACTCTGCTCATCTGCTCATGGAGCCTGTGGTTTGGATTTATATGATGATATGGTTTGGTTGTGTCCCCACCCAAATCTCATCTTGAATTGTGGCTCCCGTAATTCCCAGGTGTTGTGGGTCGGGGGGACCTGGTGGGAGATAATTAAATCATGGGGGTGGTTTTCCCTACACTGTTCTCATGGTAGTGAATTAGTCTCACAAGATCTGATGGTTTCATAAGGGAAAGCCCTTTTGCTTGGCTGTCATTCTATCTCTGCTGGTCATCATTTAAGATGTGTCTTTTGCCTTCCACCATGATTGTGACGCCTCCATAGCCAAGTGGAACTGTGAGTCCATTAAACCTCTTTCCTTTATAAATTACCCAATATCAGGTATCTCTTTATCAGCAGTGTGAAAAGAAACTAATACACCTGGGTACAGGATGCGGGGGGTGTGTTGGGCCAAAAGGCAACATTTGGGTGCAAAAACAGGAATGTACATTTTCATTTAGGGCTGTAGGTTTCCAGGCTTGATGGTGGGGCATTTGCTGAGGAATCACTCTCTTCTACCCAGAATCTACGTGCCTCTTGTCTGTATCAAAAGGTTACTATGTTCTAAAAGTTCAGTTAGTCATCATTATTTCATTTGATGTTTAATCACTTTTCAGAGATACTCTAATAAATATTTTTACCTGAGAAAATTAAAACAAAAAGAATTTCATAATTTACAAAAACAGCTTATAAAAGGTAAAGCTAGTAAGAAAACCTAAATCTTGGACTGAGACAATGGGGTTTTCTAGATATACAATCATGTCATCTGCAAACAGGCACAATTTGACTTCCTCTTTTCCTAATTGAATACCCTTTGTTTCCTTCTCCTGCCTAATTGCCCTGGCCAGAACTTCCAACACTATGTTGAATAGGAGTGGTGAGAGAGGGCATCCCTGTCTTGTGCCAGTTTTCAAAGGGAATGCTTCCAGTTTTTGCCCATTCAGTAAGATATTGGCTGTGGGTATGTCATAGACAGCTCTTATTATTTTGAGATACGTCCCATCAATACCTAATTCATTGAGAGTTTTTAGGATGAAGGGTTGTTGAATTTTGTCAAAGGCTTTTTCTGCATCTATTGAGATAATCATGTGGTTTTTGTCTTTGGTTCTGTTTATATGCTGGATTACATTTATTGATTTGCATATGTTGAACCAGCCTTGCATCCCAGGGATGAAGCCCACTTGATCATGGTGGATAAGCTTTTTGATGTGCTGCTGGATTCGGTTTGCCAGTATTTTATTGAGGATTTTTGCATCAATGTTCATCAAGGATATTGGTCTAAAATTCTCTTTTTTGGTTGTGTCTCTGCCCGGCTTTGGTATAAGGATGATGCTGGCATCATAAAATGAGTTAGGGAGGATTCCCTCTTTTTCTATTGATTGGAATAGTTTCAGAAGGAATAGTACCAGCTCCTCCTTGTACCTCTGGTAGAAGTACCATCTGGTCCTGGACTTTTTTTGGTTGGTAAGCTATTGATTATTGCCACAATTTCAGAGCCTGTTATTGGTCTATTCAGAGAGTCAACTTCTTCCTGGTTTACTCTTGGGAGGGTGTATGTGTTGAAGAATTTATCAATTTTTTCTAGATTTTCTAGCTTATTTGCATAGAGGTGTTTGTAGTTTTCTCTGATGGTAGTTTGTATTTCAGTGGGATCGGTGGTGATATCCCCTTTATCATTTTTTATTGCATCTATTTGATTCTTCTCTCTTTTCTTCTTTATTAGTCTTGCTAACGGTCTATCAATTTTGTTGATCTTTTCAAAAAACCAGCTCCTGGATTCATTAATTTTTGAAGGGTTTTTTTGTGTCTCTATTTCCTTCAGTTCTGCTCTGATTTTAGTTATTTCTTGCCTTCTGCTAGCTTTTGAATGTGTTTGCTCTTGCTTTTCTAGTTCTATTAATTGTGATGTTAGGGTGTCAATTTTGGATCTTTCCTGCTTTCTCTTGTGGGCATTTGGTGCTATAAATTTCCCCCTACACACTGCTTTGAATGCGTCCCAGAGATTCTGGTATGTTGTGCCTTTGTTCTCATTGGTTAGAAAGCTGAAACTGGACCCCTTCCTTACACCTTACACAAAAATTAATTCAAGATGGATTAAAGACTTACATGTTAGACCTAAAACCATAAAAACCCTAGAAGAAAACCTAGGCATTACCATTCAGGACATAGGCATGGGCAAGGACTTCATGTCTAAAACACCAAAAGCAATGGCAAGAAAAGCCAAAATTGACAAATGGGATCTACTTAAACTAAAGAGCTTCTGCACAGCAAAAGAAACTACCATCAGAGTGAACAGGCAACCTACAAAATGGGAGAAAATTTTCGCAACCTACTCATCTGACAAAGGGCTAATATCCAGAATCTACAATGAACTCAAACAAATTTACAAGAAAAAAAAAACAACCCCATCAAAAAGTGGGCGAAGGACATGAACAGACACTTCTCAAAAGAAGACATTAATGCAGCCAAAAAACACATGAAAAAATGCTCATCTTCACTGGCCATCAGAGAAATGCAAATCAAAACCACAATGAGATACCATCTCACACCAGTTAGAATGGCAATCATTAAAAAGTCAGGAAACAACAGGTGCTGGAGAGGATGTGGAGAAATAGGAACACTTTTACACTGTTGGTGGGACTGTAAACTAGTTCAACCATTGTGGAAGTCAGTGTGGCGATTCCTCAGGGATCTAGACCTAGAAATACCATCTGACCCAGCCATCCCATTACTGGGTATATACCCCAAGGATTATAAATCATGCTGCTATAAAGACACATGCACATGTATGTTTACTGCGGCACTATTCGCAATAGCAAAGACTTGGAACCAACCCAAATTCCAACAATGATAGACTGGATTAAGAAAATGTGGCCCATATACACCATGGAATACTATGCATCCATAAAAAATGATGAGTTCATGTCCTTTGTAGGGACATGGATGAAGCTGGAAACCATCATTCTCAGCGAACTATCGCAAGGACAAAAAACCAAACACTGGATGTTTTCACTCATAGGTGGGAATTGAACAATGAGAACACATGGACACAGGAAGGGGAACATCACACTCCGGGGACCGTCGTGGGGTGGGGGGAGCGGGGAGGGATAGCATTAGGAGGTATATCTAATGCTAAATGACGAGTTAATGGGTGCAGCATACCAACATGGCACATGTATACATATGTAACAAACCTGCAGATTGTGCACATGTACCCTAAAATTTAAAGTATAATAATAATAATAAAAAGAAAAAAAAAAGAAAACCTAAATTCAACTGATCGTAGATCTTAAGCTCATAAACCCTATTCTACCTTTGATTACTTGAATTTTCATTATACATAAGCAAAGTAGAGTGTTACTATAAGTCATTGGAAAAATAATTATTCAAGAAAAAACTCTGGAACAATGAGATTAGTGCACAAAAACATTTCGCTAACCAAATACATAGTCATACAATACAAGCATGCTGAAGAATTAAATTTATAAATAAAGCTGTCAATCAACTGTCAACAAGAAAAGAAAGCAAATAGATTATCAGCTAAGGTATAAGGTTATCATTTTTAACATAAAAGTTTCAAAAATTTGTTATACAAATTTGAATAACTTTTTATTTATATCATTTTAAAACTAAATATTTTAAAGCAAAAATACAGAATGGCACAAATTAGAAAACATTTTGGTATACAATATATAAAAGTCTTATTAAAATCAATAACAGAAATACACCTTAATAAAAAGTAGTGAACATGACAAGAGAGCTTACTAAAGAAATACAAATACAAATACCTTTAGCAATGAAAAATTTTATTTGTTTGCTTTGAAAGAATAAAGAAATGCCATTTTATTCGGTTAAAAGTATACCATCTTGAAATAAAAACAAAGATACCTTATTTGGATAGGGTGGGCATAATAATCACTCCATTATAATTCTTCTTGGAAAGTTCATTTTTGCAATCTTTCTAAAAATACTTAAGGTAGGGATCTACCAGTCACCAGTGCTTTCTTACATAAGAACTTAAATGAGGATAATCAGAGATTAATATTGTATGTCCCTATCAGATTATAAACTAGTGAGTAGCTTCTTTTTTATTTTATTCCTCAAAGATTTAGGACACTTTAGACTCTGACTAGACCATGAATACCCTCACCCAATGAGATCCTGAGAGAAGTATATTTAGAAGGTAAAATAGCAATAAATAAATACTAACATTTGAGTTAGCTCATATGTGTAGAATAGAAAATAGAAAACAATTTATATGTCAAAATAGGATAATAAATATATGTTATATTTTAAAAATATTTTATCCAGCTATTTTAAAATTATATGTTATGAATATTCCTAGTATTTGGGTAGAAATGATTAAAATTATATTTAAATTTAATTAAATATATTCTACATATGAAAGCATGATTCCAATTTTTAAAAACATAAATATAAATGCTACTTTGATGATGTGCTTTTGAGTTCTGGTTCTGTTTATCTAACCCAGTGTACATGAAAAGATAAAGATGGTAATGGTTTCTGTATCGCAAATCTTCCTCTATGGAAGATTATTCCGTTTAAAACAGAAGTAAAGAGTTATACAGTTGGCCTTTCATATCCATGGGTTCAACATTCACAGAAAAAACCAACCATGGATAGAAAGTATTTTTAAAAACCTAAAAAATAACAATACAGTAAAAAATAACCCAAATAAAAAATATGGTTTAACAATTATGTACAGAGCATTTACATTGTATTGGGTATTTTAACTAATCTAGAGATGATTTAAATTATACAGAGGATTTGCATAGTTTACATGTAAATACTACACACCACTCTATATAAGGGGCTTGAGCATCCGCAGATTTGGTATCTGAGGAAGTCCCAGAACCCATCCCTTGCAGAAGCCAAGAGCTGACACTGCATTGATACATTTGGTGTCCTTGGGCTTAACATACATCTTGAATCAGTAATAATTTAGTCTGATTAACAACATTTGACTGGGAGAATGAAACAACTTATTAAAATCATCTTTCTCCGGTAAACTAAGTGGGTGAATAAATGTTAATTAGTATCCGAGGGTTAAATGAGCTCGTCACAGATAAGATGTCAATTTCAGAGAAAATATGGCATGGTGATGAGGTACACGGTTGCACAGCACACAAAAAAAGCTAAGCCTTGGTTCTGGGGCAGCTGTCACTACACCCACCTCACTTGTTTATATCATGCTTGGAGGATCAACTGATCACTTAAATCTTCTACACAGAGAAATATAATTTCTGTAAAGTGGATCTCCAGCACATCCAATTTTAGTGCCAGGGGAAAAGAAATTAAATTCTGGAGTCATACCAACATTTACTTCTCTACATTAAAAGTCAGTGTGGGGAACTTTGTATAGGTACCAGCAAGGATGTTTTGGTGCCATTACTATCTTTTCTTTACGAATCCATTGTATCCCGTTGACACAGGTGGACTAGATAGGATTCAAGTAAACTTTATGCATATAATTTAATTTATTGTAGAATTCATTCCGCTAAAGTCAATATCTCCATTCATATTAAAGTCAATATTTCCATTCATATTAAAATATTAAAGCAGGAATCTGCAAACTGTGGTCTGGGCCAATCCAACCTATTGCCTGATTTTGTACAGTCTATAAGCTAAGAAACATTTTTACTTTTCTAAACGGTTGAACAAAATTAAAAGATTAATAATATATTATGACATGTAAAATTATATGACATTCAAATGTTAGTGTCCGTAACTAAAGTTTTATTGGAACATACCTATGCTCATGTATCTGCACGTTGTCTCTGCCTGCTTTCATACCACAATGGCAGAGTTGAGTAGTTGTGTTAGAGACTGTTTGAACCAGAAAGCCTAAAATATTTACTCTCTGGCCCTTTACAGAAAAGCTTGCTGACCCCTGTATTAAAGTAACCCAAGATGCTAACTCTTACATATTTTTGAGTTTGATAGTATTTTGGAATATAATCTGTATACTAAAAAGGAAAAATATGTACATTATAATGAAAATGGAGAACTTGGGCCAAATGCAGTGGCTCATGCCTGTAATCCCAACACTTTGGGAGGCCGAGATGGGAGGATTGCTTGAGGCCAGGAATTTGAGACCAGCCTGGTCAACGTAGCGAGATCCCATCACTGAAAAAAAAGAAAATGGGGAACTCAAGATGTAGATTTACCAGAAATTTGTTGCTTTGAATAGGGTATGTAATTTGGAATTAGGTTAATGTCAACTACCATTCAACTATGTGTTTGTGTAAATATAGTAATAATTTTATACCTCAGTAATGTATAAGTAAAATGTTGGTTTGATCGAAGGAAGTGGTTACTAAATAACTGTATTTAGCAAAATAAGGGAAAATGCATAGATTATTATTTCAAAATAAAATTTTAATTTAACTTGGTCTACCTTCCTTTTATAAAGCCATTTTATTTCTGTGATATTAAATATCTTTTTTATGAAGATTCCATGACAGTAAATAGAATTTGGTATTGTCATTTTTATTTTTCATTTACAAAAGGCAAATTAAAAACAGGAACCCATTTACACAGACATGCAAACTCACACATGCACACACATACACACACAGATATGTACACTCATACACAGAAATATATGTATATGTAAACATAGACATAAATGAACATGTATACATACCTGTGCATATATTTACATGCTAAATATTTTTAAGTGTTCTGAATAATTTGGCTGGCTGTCACTTATGTTATATCCATCTTTAAAGTACATTTATGCTTTATGCCTGTGAGTTTTCAAATAAAGACTAACTTAGCATAATTTTTGAGAAAATGTCTAACCCTGCTAGAACATTAGGGGAAATTTAAATGACTACTGCAATATTGTGTATTCAGTGGCACAATGGTTACTTAACTGTCATGCCGTCTAAAATATTGACTTCGGTCACATGAGCTAAATCATTTCTCCTATTTTTTTCTAAGAAAAAAATTACACCAAGGTTTTAGAATTCATTGTGATTCATAGCTTCTGTGTCTACAGAAGTATTTCAAGTGCATTCTTCTCTAACACGATCACCTTTTGAATTGATTTGCTATATTACATGTTAGAACAAATGACCAGCTGCTCTAAGAAAACAGAGCAATTCCCATCATAGCCTCCACTCTAAACTTTTTATCTTTGTGGGCAATTTGAAGAACCTGACTAAGGAATTATATCTATTCTTTTCTGACAGTATGTGCCCAATTACTTAAATATCTAACTTGTATCTATTGATCTCTATTGAATTTCCTTTGTCCTCAAAAGCCTTTGAGGAATTCTCTAAATTCAAACAAGTATATTTTCCTGAAAGGTAAAAATGGAAACCCTAGGGGCCTGATATTTGCAAGAATAATTCTGAAATGTTCTATTCATTGCGTCTATATCATCTCATGAATTGCTTTTCTTCATGTTCACAATTTTATGTCTTGTTATAAACCTCTTGGTGAAGTTGATTTTAGTTATGTTCATGATTGATGTATAAAATTATGTGAATTATACACATCACACAGAAAAGCCCAAGTCATTAAAAAGTATAAATTGTTAAAAAAATAAAAACAACCTGGCTGGGTGCGGTGGCTCATGCTTGTAATCCCAGCACTTTGGGAGGCCGAGGAGGGCAAATCACGAGGTCAGGAGATCGAGACCATCTTGGCTAACACGACAAAACCCCGTCTCTACTAAAAAATACAAAAAAATTAGCTAGGCGTGGTGGCGGGCACCTGTAGTCCCAGCTACTCGGGAGGCTGAGGCAGGAGAATGGCGTGAACCCGGGAGGCAGAACTAGCAGTGAGCCAAGGTCGCGCCACTGCACTCCAGCCTGGGCAACGAGCGAGAGTCTGTCTCAATAAATAAGTAAGTAAGTAAGTAAATAAATAAATAAATAAATAAATAAATATAAAAAATAAAAACAACCTTTTGACCTGCATCAGATGTTATCAATATAGGTAGCTGGAAAATAGGCATACCTGACTCAAAGTACAATTAACTCTCTTTAAAGGACAATGAATAATGGGAAAAACCATGAAAATAATAAAAAGGAGAAAATACTGTCCTTTTAAAAATATATGGGTGAGGGACATTCTGTAAACCTCTAGACTTACCTTCACCTTGATGCAAGATACATTTTAAATTAAATTATTGTAAAAGAGCTTATTATATTACTTAGAAAGAGAATAGTTTGTGTCTAACAAGCAACATTATTTTAATAGGTTAAATTCATATGAGACAATTGTCTTTCTCTCCCTTGATGAGGTAACTGACTTTGTAAAGCATAATTGGAGAAAATATGATTACAGGAGAACCATCGTGAAGCTGACTTCAACTTGTTGATTACTCAGTAGGATAAACTGATGTGACGTGGCTGTCAGCTAAAAGCTCTTCACTTGCGTATGAAATTTTAGCTTACATTATTGTAAGCAAAAATAACTTTTCAAATGAGAGGAATATAAAAAATAGAATTTAGGGTGGAACAAGCTCTCCATATTATGAAGCAATTATCGAGACTCTTAGCAATTCATTGCATATTTCAGTTTTTGAAAAGATCCAGAGTGTAAATAGTACTTCATTTTGGATGAAAGATATTACAGAGCAGGAGTTGCAGTCCGGTTTATGGTCTTTCTTCACAATTCCTTGTGTTGTGTTCTCTAATTCTAAAAAGTATTCATTCAACCTTATGTTCCTGACACATAGTCGTAGTTGCTTTATTTTATACCTAGAAGGGCAAAGCATATCTTCAAGTTGCCTTGAAAGTGCTCAAAGATAATATCGGCAGATAATTAATTTTAAAATATAAAAAGAAACTATAATAAATTATGTTAAGTTTCCAAGGAAAAATAAAACCCAGTCATAGGGTTGGTTGGCTGGTACAAGAGATTGGGTCAGAGGAGAAATAGATGGCTCTACTCAATTAAGGTTTGGTGGGGCCAGTAAGTCCTGAACTAAACTGTTTCTGCAAAGACGGGTTTGATTTGGGAGGTGGAGAGTCATAATAGTAAAGTGTGGGATGATGTCACCTGTATCTTTGCTTCACTACAGTGGAGGGGCCATAGATTTATAATTCTCATGAAAATGAAATCCGAAGAAATGGCTAAAGAGTTGACTATGGCCTAAATAGTTGACTAACAAAACAATGTTGACTATAGAGATTGCTGTTCTTGAATTCACTCATGAAATTAGTAGTTTTTCCACCAGGTATGTTTTGAAGGCTGGCTACTCTAGTCTTTCCAAGACTTTAAGTGTAGATACATCACAACAAAATGATCACTGAAAAGCCTTTGATTCTTCAGGAATTAAGGAACCATATGCACAATTTATTTTGCAAACCATTCTGTTTAATCTCTGTCATTCTCTCTAGTTGCCAGCCACAACTCTCACCACATTTTCTTCACAGTAAGGTTTACTTGTAATCATATTTCCTTCAGTAATGCTTTAAGCCGGCAACCTCATCAAAGGAGACATAAAGTCTGTAAGACTTAAGACTTATAGATCTGCTTGAAAAATCTGAAGGCATTCTGTTTTGTCTCATTTGCTGTATTATATACACTTGTGTTCTGTTGTAGGAAAGGTCTGTATCCACGCTCTGCCTGGCTAATTTCTCATCTTGTAAGATTTGGTTCAGTTGCAATGCTCACAAGGATGCTTCCTCTGATTATCCAACAGTTGGAGTTTAGCTCTTTTCCTGTGGAGCCCCTTCCCATGTTTTCTACTTTCATAATGCTTACTAAAGTCTTCTAAAACATTAGGTTTATTTGCCTATTATTAGAGTAGACTAACCTATTTCAGGGTGGCAACCACGGTTTCTAAATGTTTCCATCTTTTGCAATAATATAATACCTGAAAGGACATAGCTAATTAACGAATACTATTAATAGTTAAATGAATAAAAGAGTGAGTTAACCCGCATAAACACAACACACACTCACATCCACCTAATACACAAACAGGAAATTGCCCAAAGCCATGCTTAGAGCAACATGACCCTCAAGGTGCATAGCCTTCCAAGTCCTCTTTAGATGTCAATGTTATCTGAGGTAAATATAATTCTGAAGGGTATGTTGGTGTGGAATGATGAATAATAAAGAACATCTCTAAACTCTTGCAGCCAGAGGGTATGTTTAATGATGCTATATATGAAGAAGAAAAAAAGTCTACATTTCTGCATAACAAGGGAACCCATTTTCAGCTCAATCATCTACAAGAAAGTTACTTGCATCAAAAGGAACAAATTATTGTAGTACTTTTTCTGCAGAAGCATGTAGCAGAATGCAAAACACAGGGGCAGAACACAAAATTATCAAGTCAGAGAACACAGAGTCCTTGAATTGGAAAGAAGCGAGATAGAAAGTTGCAGGGCAACACGGAGAGGCCAAACACATGACAATTATTAACTCATGAACTAATGGGTGGCCTTTTTAAAAACACATTTAAAGGACAAAGACTGATTACTGCAAGTGAACCTGAAAAGTTTAATAAAAAATTCAGAAAATCATTTAAAATTGAGCCAAAGATGAAAATTATTAGGCATACCAAAAAGAAAAAAAATATGGCAATGATTCAGGCAATTTAAATAAATGCCTCAGAAGGCAGAATTGTTTTTTGGAGTAGTGACAATAATTGTAAAATTCATCTTAGGAGGAAAAAAGCATGAGAACAATAAAATTTTTGAAAAATAAAGAATATTAACATAATCTGTCTACAAAAGTACAACAATGATTATATGTTATTTCAAATGGGTAATATTGACACCTAAAAAGAAAAATTAATAGAGCAGATTAGGATCACTATTTATATAATTTTGATATACTATAAAGGTAGAGTATTTCACAAAATTCTTATCTCATTTTCCTAGTTACTTTGGTTGTGGCATTATAATTTTAATTCAGTTGATAATCTAGAGTATCAATACTTTCAGCATTTCCTGCATAATGTTTTTTAACCACATCCTTTATCTTTCTTTCTCTCTCTGAAAGGTCATGAGGATGGAGTTCTCATGAATGAGATGACTGCCCTTGTAGAACAGACTCAAGAGAGACTCTTGCTCCTTACATCATGTGAAGACACAGAAAGAAGGTATCATCTATGAATCAGGAAACCGTTCCTTGATCTTGGACTTCCCAGTCTCCAGAACTGTGAGAAATAAATGTCTCTGGTTTATAAGCCACTTCATTTATGGTATTTTCTTATAGCAACCTGAACAGACTAAGACAAAGGATAACTTGCTTTACTCAAAGTCTGCCTATGTAAATGTTAGTCTTATCTAAAAAATATCTTCACGGCAACATCTAGACTGGTATTTGACCAAATATCTGGATATCATGGCTTTGCCAAGTTGACATATAAATTTAACTATCACAAGTCCACCCTTTGTCAACTTGGCATTGGTATACATATCCTTAAACTTTACATACTTAATCTCCAAATAGAAATAAATAACAATGTCGTATTTCCTCCTAACATGATACAACCATCCTGCATACAACCTGAAATGCATAACCTTTTTTTCCAGAAAAGGATACAGAGTGCTTGGGTGATGTTCACTCTTCTCCTTAATATCTTGTAACTTAAATATTATAATATTAAGCTAGCAATACTTAAAACTATGATGTAAAGTCAATACATATTATAAGGGGATACAAGAATGAAGAAAATATTTTATATATGTGATATATATATAATATCATATATATAAAATATTCACACACAAACATAACAAAATAAGGAAGAAATACTCATGGCAATTAGTCTTCTTTTCTGTAAATGTTCATGTGGTCATAGCTAGTATTCATAATTACCCTCTACCACTACACATTTCATTTTCCCTCTTTCCTCAACAAGCACCTCAGCTGGTTGTGATTATTTACCAAACTTTCATTCCTGAAGTATCTGGACCATTAGTAGTCCTGCCTGAAGGGGGTTCTTGTAGTTTTCCATTGACCTTGATCACAGGATATGGGAATATGAAGAGATGCCCTAAGGGAGCTGCTATATTTCAGACACACCCTTTCTTACTTCCGTTGTGGATTACTAGTTCAATTTTCCCTTGGTAATCAGGATCAATCACCCCAGCCAGCACAGTGACTCCCTATTTTGCCTGTTGATTTGGAGACATGAGAAGCCCAAGTGGTCTGAAGGCAGTCTTCACTTCCAGTTCTATTACATCATTGTGTGTCTCCCGCTGGAAGCATTTCTCCCTTTGGAACTAAGACCTCAAGGTCAGCAGAGCATAATCTATCAGGAAGCAAAAATTTTACTAGTGGATCACTAGGGGTAATGGTAAGTGGTAACTCTTCCATTTCCACCTCTTTGATCCTGAACACAAGAATCCCGGCTACGGAAGAAACAGCACCATATACTGGATGCTGATTCAGAACATACACAGTCATACATTAGTGTAAGCATGGATTCATAACAATAAAGTTGGCATTATCCAAATTTATGTTGATTCCATCATTATTCCACATCCTTAATATTCATTCTCATACATGCTCTCTAGATTTCTGTCCATATAAATTCGAGATATCATGTAGTTCTTTTGGAGTATAGCACATTTCTTCATTGGTTACACTTTGTACATCACTTTTAGTGGGTGGCTGAGACATGAGTCTAGTTATAGGTCTAGAAGCAAAAAGAAGCAGGCAAGAGTTGATCTTGAGGTTCAAGTCCCAAGGCAGACTGTGACAGAATTCTCTCTTGAAGGATCTCTGTCCTTTTCCCTTACGTCCTTCAACTGACTAGATGAGGCTTACCACCTTAGGAAGAGTCACTATTTAAATGATAATCTCATTTTAACAGCATCATTTGGACTGGTATTTGACCAGATATCTGGGTCCTGTAGACTAGCCAAGTTGACACATAAGATTAGTTATCACAACAATCATTCTTCTTCACTTATTTGCCTCCTCTTCTTGCCTTCTTTCACAGTTCCAACAAGAGGCCCAGTATTTGAGTGAATCATTTCTGCACTCTACCTGCAGTTTGCAGTGCCCTTTCTTTTTTTTTTTTTGGCTATGGCTGGAAAGTGGAGTTATCTTTTCAACAGTACCAAGAGCTTTAGTAATGATAAATCATGGTATCCTATATTCATGGCCCTTGCCATCCCTTGAAAAACACTTCCTCCACCTCTTAGGATACCTTGGGCTTACCTGCTGGTGTTTCATAGAATTATGGTCACTTTCTAACTGGAAAACACTTAGCTTGTTATTAGTTTCAGGAGATCTAAAATCCTTATGAGTAATTATGACTAATTCACAAAAAAAGTTCCAAAAATGTCCTATGGCTATAGACTAAACTGTGTTGATTACTAGTTAATAGATAAACAGGTGACCAAACTTGATAAATCTAAGCAAGTCTTTCAACCAACTGTTTCCATCAAATCTTAAAACATAAACTGTTGGGCAAATCTCACAAGAAAAATAGAAGTCTTTACAATTTCTCTGGTGCATCAAAGGCAAGAAAACAAAGATGGTGACATGATACAAATATATGTTTTTAATTTTTTAAGTTGTTGTCTATGTAACAAGTGCCTCCAACTTACAAGTTGCTATCTTAGATATTTTAAAATATATAGTATCACTTAATTGTCACAGAATTATGAATTGATTAGTATACCCATTTCAAAGATATATAAATCAAGCCTTGAAAAGGTTAAGGAAATAGTTCAATAGGTATTGTTTGTATTAGAGCACCCAGTATGAACCCCTATGCTTTTTTCTAGATCATGTATTCTCTCTTGACCTACATCTAGTCCAAAATTAAAGTGATATGACATTTGGATCTCAACTGACATATTCTTATTTCTTAGATTTCTACTAGAAATAGTTTGAAAACTGCCTTGCCCACATTTTTGTCTTTGCCTTATTTATTGAAACCAATGAACATAAACAAAATTGTTTTTTATTTGTATCCATTATTTAATGAGTTTGAGGATTATTCTAGGTATAACTTTTTTGTTTTTACTAATGAAAGCATTATCTTGTATATTTATTATGTTAATGTGAAAATTAGCCTTCTATTTTATCTACAGGCATTATTTGAAATATTTAACTTCTGATGGAAATTTTTCCTGAAAAAAATTTTTTCTTTGTTTCTTTCAGGTTCCTGCAATCACTATAGATCTATGAGTTAGGATTTTAAACTGTGTTTGCTACCTGCATCATTTTGGGTCATCCAGGTAGTTTGCTAGAGATATCTATCTACCTCAGGACTAGTGCATGGTCACAAAATTTCAGGAAAAAGAAATGCATTTTTTCTTTTAATCTCTGCTCAGGGCCAAATTTTCTGAACAGATGTTCTCTTATCAAGGTGATAAGACAGTTATTGCTAGTTTTCTATCCAGAGTAATTTTTACTGCTGTGTCAGGGATGTATTAAAGACGTTTGTTTGTTTTATAACAGCATTTTGATTATTGTCAGCAGAAGTACCAGTGTAGTCAACTGGGTATGGCAAGAATTGTAAGTTCTTTCTTTCAGTATGATTTGCAGTTTATCATATTTTGCCCTTAATTTCAAAACCACTACTACATCAGAAAAGTTTTTATTTATTTTATTTAATTTCTTGTGAAATTTCTTGGTTTGAATTTATACTGCCAGAGGCTTTTCTGTTTGGTTAACCACTAAACACAAAATCTTTTGGGTATTTTGAACATATGAGTGTGTGTGTGTATGTGTGGGTAGATACATATATTATTATATGTGTTACATTTATATAATATATATAGTATTCTGTAGTCTATATTCTATGTTATGTATTATATATTATTATGTATATATAATTAGTTCCATTAATTGTTAGTCATAGTATTTGCTCCCTGAAATGCTAAAAAGTGTTGAGTTCAGACTAAACATGAAGTTCAAATGAAATATGATCTATGAAGTCAATCTGGAGAGCCAGAAAATAAACATATTTTAGTCACCTGAAAAGGCACCCTGGAGTAGATAGACTGGGGATTGAAGTTTGAATGAATAGTTTGTAGGGAAAGTGGAGAGCTGAGACAAGAGAGAGCATTGCATATGTTGTCTCCTGTAATTCTCACACATGTGTGCATGTTCAAGTAGTGACTATCTCCATTACTTAGAGAAGGATAATGAGGTTCAGAATGATTAACTAGGTTTAAGGTTTTACAATTTGTAAGTCATAGGTAGCTGGATCAAAAGATTTGGGGTTTTGTTTTGCTTTTGTTATTTTAACTTCATGATCTTACTTATTAGTTTCTTACGTCTTATACTCTTCTTAACCCATATGTCTAGTGTTCCATTATTGGAATGCTAAGCATGTAGGAATTATTTATATCCTACTGCTCAAGGTCATCACAAAGCTCTGATTGCAAGAATTCAAAAAACTGCAACCTCAGGCATAATTGGGTTAAGGCTGAGAGGAGAACATGTACAGGATCAGAGGCAGGGTGAGCCTATCACGCCAGGGCACTCACTTCACCAGAGAAGCAGGAGGTAAAGCATGATATGTTCGGTTTTGCTTGTTTTTACCCTATGTGACACAATAGAGGTAGATTGATGATAGAAAATAGATAGCTAGACAGATAGTGAAGCCTTAACAAAATACCACAGAGCAGGATGCTTAAACAACAGAAATGTATGTTCTCATAGTTCTAGAGGCTGGAGCCATTGACAGGATCGGTTTATTCTAAGTTCTTTCTCCTTGTCTCACAGGTGGCCCTCTTCTCCTTGTATTCTCACTTGGTCTTTCCTTGGTCTCAGGAAGCAGGGAGAGAGATATAAGGTCACCAGTCTCACCAGATTAAGACCCCACCGTTATGACTATATTCAACCTTAACTGCCTCCTAAAATATCTGTTTCCAAACACTGTCACATTGCAGGTTAGGGCTTGAAGATTTAAGTTGGGGGGAGCTACAACTCAGTCCACAGCAGACAGACAGTTGGGTCAACAGATAGAAAAATAGTGTATCAAGAAATGACAAGACCCACTCACATTTTTCAAGAAAAAACAAAATCTGGAATCATTAATTAATAGTTGGTGTTATTTTAGCCAAAAACATATGAATAAAAAGAAATTGGAAATGCTGGATTCCAACAGATTCTGGCAAGAATGCTGCTGAAGAACTACACTAGTGACTTTCTCCTGTTTTGCATCTTTGGGCCAGGTTCATGCTGTATGTTAAATAATGGCTTGCATGTCCCATGAAGAGCATTCCGAAGGAATTTAATTTATTTTGACTTGAGGGTAATGAGATGTTTCCTACACATTGGCATGGATCCCCTGATACACATACTATGCATACCACCTCCCAACCTCTTTTCAAGTAACACTGGCTTTGGAATTTTCAAAACAGAACCTTAACATTTAATGCTTTTTTTAATGATCTCTCACTTCTTTCACCCCAGTCCCATGATTTAATGGGCAACCTAACATCTAATTATATTAAGGTGAAATGTATCAAATTTCTGATATTTAATTATATCTGACCTACAAAAAGAAAAAATTCACCTAGGTTTAATGTAATACCCAATATTACACTGAGTGTGGTATACACATAGAGACATTAGAAATGATTTAATGTAAATTATTTTAAAACTGAAAAATATTCAGCTACTCGGGAGGCTGGGACAGGAGAATTGCTTGAACCTGGGAGGTGTAGGTTGCAGTGAGCCAAGACTGTGACACCGCACTCCAGCCTGGTGACAGAGAGAGACTTCGGGGAAAAAAAAATATATATATATATATATAAACATTGACTTTTTCTACATTTAATGGATTCTAGCATGAACAAATGCTTACTTGGCTCTCTAATATTTGCCTCACTGCCACTCTTACTGCTGAACATTCTGATTCTAGTCACCCTCATCACCTTTTTGACAGTCGTAATAACTTTGATTGTGTCCTTCCTGACCATTTCTTATTTTCTGCCACTCCTTTTCAGTTATCTTTATAAAATTATTTCTGAGCCTGTCATTTTCATGCTCAATCATTTTAGAGATTTTTTCTGACCTACAGAAAAAAATCTGATAGTTTTATCACATCATTCTATATTCCTAACAATGCCCAACTTACTTACATTTCTGCTCTCTGTGTCTGTCTCTCTCTCTCTCCCCTGCCACCCCCAACAATTGTGCTACAGCTGATCAGCTTATACAGCTAATGTCTCACTGTTGTCCAAGTATCACTACAAAATCTTAGGCCTCTACTCTTTCCCAAATAGTATCTACTGGGCTTGAACCAACCACTCCATTCTTTTCCAATTGGTAAAAGGCTGATTATATTCCATTATTTAACTGATTGTCACCTCTGTTCTTATTTTCTCCCCAGAAGGATCATATTCTATCCCTAGTACAATAAGAAAGAACTCCCTCTTCTGTCTGTCCTCAGAACTTTCCCATATACCTAACTTATCATATTGTGTTATGGTTATTGCATAGGTACCTATTTTCTCTCCTGGATTGTGACGTCTTTCATGGAGAATTAATGTACCAAAATTTCAAGCATAGAAAGGAACTTGAACTCTCCATAGGCAGATATTCAATTTAATTAAGTTAATTTGGGATTGGTACTTAAATATTACACACACACACACATGCGTCTATTTTATTCTTAGAACTCTGAATATTATCTATGGAGTGATTCCAGTGTCACGGTTCATTATTTGTTTTTTCTGACTCCATGCAATTGCAATTTAGGTAATTATTTAAAAATGTTGGAAATTGTGGCCTCCAGGCTTGCCTCACATGTAAGGCCTTTCTCCTTGAAATCTATGATGCAGAGTTAAAAGCTGGGAACAAACGTAAAAAAACAAATTTATAGTTTTGGATGAAGTCGATCAACCTACAGATTTCAGAGTAATATAGAAATCTCTACAAGAGGAATATCTGCAGTTTTACTTGGTAACATGGATTGTTTGTTTCCCAAACTGCAGCACAAATTTCTTTTCTAGGCTTACCCTAAATTTTTCTAGCTAAAATTCTAACTCATTCTCTCAGTTAACAGAAAAGGCCACTGCTCATTGTTCCATAAGCAATATTTCTTTTCCTTGAAGATTAGGTCTCCATTCAACCTTCTCCCTTTCCATAGATAATGAACATCTTTCTTCTCTCTCTCTCTCCTGCGGGGCCAATTCCATGACTTTTCATCATTCTACTTGCTCCTCTGTGGTTTCTTGCTCAAACCCCTGTAATCACCTCCTTGCTTCTTGCCAGGCTCTCTGTCTCATCCAAAAGCTGCCCTGGGTCCGTCCTATCTTTTTCATCCCTAGGTGACACACATGACAATCAAGTATGCAAAAGTCTGTGCTCCCATATAGATTTCTCCAAGGAAGCAAAATGACTTCTCACTCTCGCACAGTGAACACGGTAGGTTTCATAGGTTTTATCTAATCCACAAGACTTCTGCGGATAGGCCCTTAGATAAACAGTTTATCACATCTGCTTGGCGCCTCATAATGTAAAAACACAGTGGTTTTCAGTGACAGTTTTTTGTGGTTTCCTAAAACTGGGCCTTCTCTAAATATTTTATTTCTTTTTAGAAAATGCAGAGATGTTGTTAAACCTAACTCAATACTTTTAAAACTTTAGGGTCTTTGGCTTGTCAGCAGAACAAATAGACATGGCTCCAATGAGCCCTGCATATGAAATCACTAGCAGAATAATCCTACAGGATGTCAGCTTCTATGCTCCAATGACAAAGCACTTCAATAATAGTTTTCTACAGAGGTATATTTTACAATCCAATGAGCTAACAAATTCTAATCCACCGAGCTTAAAACAAGATGAAATAAAATAAAACATAAAACGTTCTTGTTCTGCAGAACTGGGCATAACAATTTTTTGTAGCTTTTTTTAAAAATTGAATTTCAAATGGCTTTTCTCATATGTTTGGGTAAAAATAATTTCATACAAAGAATATGTATTAATAGATGTGTGTTATTAAAAGGCAGTCCATGTTATTCTTTTCCCCTCATGGTATGAGAAGATTTTATTTAAAGCCTGCAGTAGGACTATTTAATGTTCAGTTCATCCCTTCGATGTCTTCACTTGTTTATTAATTAGCACGATCTTCTAACGTTTAGTAAGACAAACCCTGCTGAACACTGGGGAGATACATTTGGAAAAAACATGTAATAGCTGGTGAATATGCTACCTCATAGCCAGCCTTCTCACTTTATCACTTTGAATCAAGACAGGTTTGGGTATAAACCGTCATCACTTGATATTTATAAGCAATGCTTCCTCATTAATGACTATAGAGAGACTGAGGATATGGCTGATTAAGCTGTTTGTCCCACGTTGTGGCATCTTGGAGTAACATAGAAAGTGAGACATTTGAAGTTATATCAGAGAAAAATTATTTAACACTTGGGTCACCATGGCAAGGCAAGCAAGTTATATGACCTGACACAGTTGTCCTTCTCAGAGGCTGTCCTGGACTTATTCAATTCCCATGTATACGGTACTCCTATCATATGTTAATCACTGGATGTAAAACAGATGTACACTTTGTTGTCTCCTCCAAGACTTGTCTGTCAGGGCATATAAACACTAGTTAAATAATCATGTGATGAATATTAAATTAAAATCTGTGAGACTTATTTTAAACAACCACAGCATAGCAACAACAAAAGGAATCTGGGAAAAGCTTCCCTGAGATAATGCTTACTCTAAATATCTAACAAGGTGAAGACAAGTGAGAATAGTTTTGGTTTTGTTTGTTAGTATGCTTGTTTATTATTACACGATTATTTGATGAAGCTATTTTCAAATAGTGTTCTATATTCACAGAAAATATGCTTACATTTCTTCACAGCTTTTTAATAGATAAGATTTACTATAAAATTAACTTTTTTGGCAATCATTTATAAGAATTACATCAAGTTTTGTAACTGCAAAGTAATTTTTTATGCTTGTGGGTGTATAGATTTCCAGACTTCATGACAACATAAATATTTGCAATAAGAATTTAAGTACACACACACACACACACACACACACACACACAAATACACACATCTCATTTATCCATACTGAAATTTCTCATTAAATGTACAAATACTAGAAAGCAAAGAGAGGAAAAGGACCAAATGATGTCTCAGAAGGCCAGGCGTGTGTCACTAATCTAAAATAGGCTTGGATTCAAAAGCATATCTGTCATCCCAACCTGTACTCAAGTGACCCAGTGCCGTTATCTTAATGGGGGTTATGAAGTATAATGTTCCTAGATAATAAAGTATGTGACATTAATTCTTAATGTGTATTAGATTATTGGTTCAAAGGCCTTATAAATTCAGAAAGAAGAGCAATGTGACCTGTTATTCAATATTTAATTTTCCTCAAATAATATGCTAGGCTTACTTTTGCTAATTTTGGAACTAGTAGCCCTGGGTGGTTTGCAGGGATGCCTCCGTGCTCCTGCACCTCCTCCGGCACCTCATCCCTCTTCATTTGTCTCATTTCTCTTTTTCATCGCTTTTTCTTTTCTTCCTTTTTATTTTCTTCGTATGCTATGTCCTTCCCCTTGTTAGAAGTTATACAACTTGTTCTATAAAGCTAAATCTATTAACTTGATTCTAACAAACATAATAATTTCTTGGAACTTAAAGAAGAAAGAAATTTACTTCTATCACTCCATGTTTTCAAATACATTTTTCATAAATTATAGAATTTACATTCATTTCTTCTTACTACTTTATTTTTGGTCATCGTATTGCTATGTTTCAAAAATTAAAAAGCCCAGTATTTCTTATTAAAGCACTAGTTCCAAACATATATTTAATGAAATGCAGTTATAAATCTTCATAAAATCTTGAATATCTGCCTGCTCAGTTCTTTGAAAATCCAAATGCCTAATACATTTTGAAAGTGAATATAAAAATTGAAATAAGGGTTTGCTAATACAGCTCAAGCAGTGGTGATTATTTAACAATAGATAAGTTCCATCTGCTTTTAAAGTTAAAATGTTTGTTGATACTTTGACATTAACCCAAAGCAAAAAAGGAATTTCCATTTTAAAAAAATTAAAGTCAAAGAAATAGATTATTAAATTGAATAAATATGCAAAAGTGACTAATGTTTCAGATGGTAATTAGAAGAAATATCTGAAAATTAATTACCTAATAAAAATAATTAATAAAGAATAAATGAATTCCTCGAATGTATTTTATAGAATTTGAAACATCAGAGTGAAAACAAGAAATGAAGGGATGGTAAAAATTAGTGGAATTAAATGGAGGATAAGCACATAGGAATATGTGAGATCAGAGAGACTGGTTTACATATCAGTTGGTTAGAAAATAAATTTAGACCCAGGCTCTCTTGAGGTGGGAAGGAGCCAGCCACGTCAAGTAGTTTGGCCAGGTCCTCTCTAGTCTCATTTGTTAAATCACTCTTCCTTTTCCTCTGTATTAGTCCATTTTCACACTGCTATAAAGAAATACCTGAGACTGGGTAATTTATAAAGGAAAGAGGTTCAATTGACTCACAGTTCCACACGGCTGGGGAGGCCCCAAGAAACTTACAATCATGGTGGAAAGTGAAAGGGGAAGCAAGCACTTTCTTCCCAAGGTGGAAGGAGAAAGGAGTGCAAGCAGCGGAAATGCCAGGTGCTTAGAAAATCATCACATCTTGTGAGAACTCACTCACTATCATGAGAACAGCAGAGAAAAAACTTCCCCCATGATCCAATCACCTCCCTCCCTCGACACATGGGGATTACAGGTCCCTCCCATGACACATGAGGATTACAATTCAAGATGAGATTTGGGTGGGGACACAGAGTCAAACCGTATCACCCTCCTTCTCTAGAGAGCTGAGCAGAGTTTGCTCACATTCTTATTGTCCCTGGACCACAGTATTATTGACATTTTAAACTCAAGAATCAATTGTCATAGGGGGCTGTCTTGTGCATTGCACAATGTATGGCAGAGTCCTGACCACTACCACTAGATGCCAATGGCACTCCTGCCCCATGAGTTATTATAATAAAAAATGTCTCCAGACATTGGCAAACATTAGCTGAGAATAAAAATTGTCCCCTACTTGCAAACCACTGGCTTAGATGTAATCACCAGGTTGGGGCAGTCCTCAGGCTGTCAGAGAGTGGCCAAGGTAGTGCTTCTTTTCATGTTCTTGGAGGCAACATACTAAACTTTGGAAGTGACACATACGAGTGAGAGATCCTCAAGCTTAATCTTCATGGTAAATTTGCTTGTCAGTCCATACTGCCTATACATCTGTAGTACAGTATGTTTAATAGTTTGAACACTTTAAGGATTTGTTTGTATATCTGTAGGCTGACCACCAGCACTCTGAATCCAGGGAATGTCTCTTTGCTTATCTCTTTTTGCTCAGTACTTCCAAAATGCCTGGCAAATGTATGACCCTTGATAGGCATTAACGATAAAATCACAAAGCAATTCCACTGACTTTCTAAATTAATTAGCAATAGCATAATATGTTCTTCTAAAAAGAAAAGCATAGCTGATGAATTTTATCAAGGTAGAAGTCTACCCCTCAATGAATATGGTGAGAAATTTAAAAAATAATAAAGAATCCTGTGGAAGAATTTTTCTCATACTAATTCCATCATGTGTAGGTCTCCTTTCTCCTCTCACAGTTAGGGACTCACAACTTAGAACAAAATTTTGCTTGTCATGTCCTGTTACCTCATAGACTCCCAGTAGTGTGGCTTATCTCCACAACCCCAGTGCTGCAGCCACAACAAAGTCATCACCAAAGGTTTCCCTCTGTGCTCAGTACAGACACAGAATGAATGCTCAGCAAAATCTTAAATCATTTGATTGAAAATTTTTTAGTAGTTTGTTAAAGTAAATATGAGCTAGTTTATACAAAAATCCAAACTGTTTAGACTTTAGATTTACTCGAATTACTCTGCCACAGTCCATGTAGTAATTTAAAATCTGAAAGAACTGAAGACAGATATATGTCATTATGCCAAAGTTTAGTTACTCCTGTTCACTCATTCTTTCATTTATTAACAAAGACAATCTGTTATTTAATGCAAAACTCATAATCTAGTCATCAAGGTTGCCATGGAAACACACAGATGTTATAAAACACATAAATGTTATGATAAAAGTAAATGGACAAATTCAGTACAGAGTAATGGATAACAACATAGATTCTGTAGTCATGCTGTGTGGGTTCATACAGCAGCCCTGATACTTACTACTAATGTGACTTTGGAAAACTGACTTATTCTCACTGGTGCCTCAATTTCTTCATCTGTAAAATGTCGATAATGATAATGACAATCTCTAACCTCAGAGTTGTCACAATACAGATTTCTACATTGTTTATTTTTCTTTCAATATTTAAAACGTTTTTCCTCCACCCCCTCTTTGCTTGCATGGTTTATCATGAGAAGTCGGCTGTAATTCCAATGCTGGCTTCTCTACAAACAAGAAGTGTTTTATGCCCTCTGGATTCTTTCAAGACGTCTTCCTTTGTCTTTGGGCTGCAGCTGGTTGAAGATGATTGTGCGTGAGTGTTTGTGTGTGTGTGTTTCTCCTCAGTTTTCTAATGGGCCCTGGAAAAGCCATTCATTTTCTCTTTGTGTAGCTTTTCCTTGTAACTATGGAAATTCCAATTTCTACACTTTTTACAGGTCAAGACTGAAACTGGAAGTTAGTAACAGGTTTGAAAGGAGATCTTCTAGACTTCTCTTCATAATCCTTTTCCATAGAAAAGAAAAGAGGAATGTTTTCAGTTTCCCCTGTCATATTTCAAAAAACAAACAATACAAAAACATGTCATAAAGAAAACATAAAATTCACATCTAGAACATAAGTCACTGCTATCTGCATTTTTCTTTTCTCTCTTTTTTTTTTTTTTTTTTTTGAGACAGACGGAGTCTTGCTCTGTCGCCCAGACTGGAGTGCAGTGGTGTGATCTCGGCTCACTGCAAGCTCTGCCTCCCGGTTTCATGCATTCTCCTGCCTCAGCCTCCTGAGTAGCTGGGACTACAGGTGCCCGCCACCACGCCTGCCTAATTTTTTCTATTTTTAGTAGAGATGGGGTTTCACTGTATTAGCCAGGATGGTCTCGATCCCCTGACCTCGTGATCCGCCCGCCTCAGCCTCCCAAAGTGCTGGGATTCCAGGCGTGAGCCACCACACCCGGACAACCTGCATTATTCTTTTAGACTCATTATTTGAAGATGTTCCTTTTTTATCACTCAAAATTGTATAAGTAAAATACCTCCTTTTTAAAAAATTTACAGTTGAATGGTAGTTTAGATTTTCTATATTACCTTTATTTCCTATAGAATACGTAATTCTCTCTCTCATTCTCTGTGTGTGTATGTGTGTGTGTGTGAGTGTGTGTGTGTGTGTGTGTAACTTTACTAGTAAGTTCTTTGGAAGCAAATGTATTAACTCTTTCACCTTTAAAACAAAGTGTCTAACAGTGAGTTGGCTATAAATGGGGCTTAGCAAAATTATTTGGAATAAAAAAATGAATGAAGCATTAGCGTTATTTCCTTTTTAGTATCCATACACACAAGGCCAATCTTGAAACAAATGTGAATTTGTGTATTAAATATCCACCTATTAATTTACCTGTTTACACAGAAATACTCTCCTCTGGGTGCTTTTTGTGTCATTCTCTTACCTTTTCCTTCTACTCAAATTTATTTGATCTAGGTTTCAATTCTTATGGTCCAATAAGTGATTCCAATATCCTGATATAGTCCCCTTTAGATTAAATTGTTCATCCATAAAATAATATATTTGGAACTAACTACTGTCTTTAAAAAAATATGCGCCTATTTGCAGGTAGTCTACGCATCTCTGCATGTCAAGACATGCCCTTTGTTGTCAAGTTCAAATGCTCACATTGGCATATTTGAGAATGTACTCGTAATCGTATAAATGCCAGAAGGAAGTAAAAGATTAAGCCTACTAAAAGGTACTTGTGAGAGAGATAGTAAAACCTTAAAAATTTGAAAGTCTGAGGCAAGTAGATAGAGCAGTTATCTCCCTATGCAATGGGGACTTCTGTCTCATAGAATTTATGTTCATCTATGACCATTCAAGCACATTTTAGAGAAAAGCGTATAAAAATCATCAATAGTAACCAAAAGAATGTTTATATGTTAGAAAATATTCTATAGACAGATGTTCCCATTTTCAGAACTTTAATACTAAGAAAGCAATCAGGATTAATTCACATTTATATGTAATTAAAGTCTTACTTCGACCAAATTGTTTTTTAATATACATAATTGGTCTTTGTGAATGGACATAGTTCAAGTTGCCATGTAAAAATAATTCTGTATATCTTCAGATGATATTCCTGAGCATTTGAGGTTATTCAATTTTTAATCTGTAGAAATTGTGAGCTAGTGCTTTAAGGATGCAATTTCTATTGTCCAAGTAAAACACGAGAACAAATTTAGTAAGAATCAGAAATCTCTTTCTTGCTCTTAATGAATTACGATTACAAAATACACTCACTATGGTAGAGTGCCACAAATGGCAATGAACAATGAAATTATTTTTTTTCCATCTTCATTGTTTTGTGCAACAGGATTCAGTATATTCGTATATATTTCAATATACAAAAAAGGTACAATTTCAAAAGCATAAAATTTTAAAATCATGAATATTTCCAGCAGCAAATTCAGACATTATGCATTCCTGCTGCATTTTAATTAGCAAAAAAGGTTGCAATTAAGGCCACACATCTTATTAATTCTGTAAAGAAATGAAGTGCTCCTTTTTGATATCTCTCACAAGGAAGATTTGGAAATGTCAGGGACTGAGTTATAGGAAAAAGAACATTTCATGGCCTACTAATTCAGGCAATACATGCCAAACAATCAGAAGGGGAGAAAGATAATTGAAGTAGGGAGGGTAGAGGAAAGATTGCAAGATAAACATTATGTATGGAGGCATACTCCTCAGGTAATGAGGTGATAGATCTAATCTTTTGTAAAATGTAATATACAAATAGCTGTTTTCTAGAAATAGACAATACTTGCAGCTATAAAAGAAAAAGTAATCAAGCATTTATTATTCTTCAGCTCAAACAAGAAGCAGAAAATTATGAGGGTGAAAGAAATTTTTTTAGATTAAGAAAATGGTTCAATATAGGCTTTCTCACACTGCAAGTCAGCTCTCAATTATATGCACTGATGGAAGAGGAGACCTGATCCAGGCTATTGGAAATGGCAAGTATAAAAAAAAGGAAAATTACGGATGATCTGGTAATGGAGGTAAGCCCTAAAAACAATAAAGAGCCAATATCTGCTGACAATTGTGTCATGAAAACCCACAATCTGGGTGCACTGTGTACTAATAGTTGCACACAATACACATCTTCTGTTAGGATGTGTGCTGTTGGTATGAGATTTGGAATTATTAGGCAAGGTAAGAAACTCTTTTACTTTCTGATCATTATTGTTTCCATCAGTAAAATTGTCTCAATATTTACAACACCCACCTCACGTGCTTACTATCAAGATTCAATGAAATATGTTGTGTGAACACATTAGGGATCTATTTAAATTACAGGTTTTAAAACTGTACCACAAAGACAGATTGCTTGTTTGTTTTTTAAACATTCTCATTCTTTCCCAGTACGTGGCCCAGTAATTGGGAAACAGGTGGACACTAAATATTTTTTGAACAAACAAATAAATAAATTCTCATTAGTATTATTATAAACTATAAGATAAACAAGTTTCTGATGACCCCTTGAAAAGGAGGTATTTTTTCTTATGACAATAGTAGAGAAAATAATTTTTGAGAAATCATGTAGAAATATAATTAGCAAAATCTAAAACTATAAATTTTAGTTTATCAACTCTCCTTCAGACTTGTCAGTGATCCACTTTGCTTGGTCAGCAGTATACTAATATGATATGATGGTTAATGCTTTGAAAATGTCCTATATTATAGCTAAAATGCTCCTATTTAGTGAAATCTAATACTATTTGAGTACACAATATTTATATAGAATCATATTTATCATTTAAACCTCAGATAATCTGATAGATAGATATAAAGTATTATTATGCTCAGTGAACAGATGAAGAAACACAACTGAGATGAAGCAAGTTTTAAAACTTGTCTAAACATAGAACTAACAAGGAGTCCATCTGCGATTTATATTCTGCTGTGTGACTCTGTCTTGACTTTTCCCTTAAAAATACTTAGTCTTTGGGTAAATTGAATACTTGATTATTGATTTCAGCATAAGAACAAGATATAAAATATAATATTTATTATATATAGGTATAAAATATATTATCTCATTTTATGTAAAATATAATACTTATATAATACATGAATAAGTATATATAATATATGAAATATTATATTTATACATATATAATACTTATCTGTACTAATTTATAAGTTTATATTTATACTTATATATAATATATGAAATAAGTTTTATATAAAATATTATATTTATGTATAAAATAAAATGTATAAAATAGCATTGTATATTATAATTATTATATAGTATTTATATATTTAGTAGTATATATTATTAAATATATTTATTCTTTATAAAATAATGTTATATTTTATATAAAATAAGACATATTTATTTATAAATAAAATTAATAAAATAATATGTTTATTATACATATTTATTATAATTATTAGATAGTATTATATATTTATTATTATATATCATTAAAAATATATGTATAATATATTTATTATTTACAAAATAATACATATGTATATTTTATATAAATATTATATTTTATGATTATATTTTATATAAAATAAGATATATAATATACATTTAAGACATATAATATGTTATATATACATTATATGAAGATAGATACATTATATATAATAATGTATTATATAATAAGTATTATATTTTATATGAAATAAGATATATTTTATATCTATATAAAATAAATATATTTTATACTTGGTTCTTATGCTAAAATCAGTAGTCAAGTATTCAATTTACCAAAAGATTAAGTATTGTCAAGGATAAAGGCAGTCACACAGCAGAATATGAATCCCAGATGGACTCCTTATTAGTTCTACGCTTGGACAAGTTTTAAAACTTTACTTATTTAATACTTATTATATATTATATTAATATGTATACATATCATATATATATTCTCAAGTGTATGTACATTCAGCCTTGATAGGCAGAATGTCTTAAGATTCCTGTTTTACAAAATCATCCATTATAAACCCTAAGGACTTCACCTTTTTGTCAATTTCCATCCTTTTATTTATGAAGCAAAATTAAGGGTAAGAACAAGATATGCGGATTGCTAATAAACATTTACAGCCACCTCACCCTCGATAGTCTATACTACTTAGGGTTTTAATATTCTTACTTGTAAAATATCCAATGTTCAAAGCATATTTGGGAATTAATTTTATATTGGGTAGAAAACAACAGACAATTTTTAGAGTTTAAAAATTAGGAATGTGAAATGCACCCATGCTTGTCTCATGTTTACCTTTATTCCCAAAATCTACAGCAGTCTCCATATATGAATATTTGATCAAAACATTTTTATCATATAATTAAATGAGAAAATTTGAAATACAATGTTCCTGAAGCATAGTAGAGATACAGAATACAATCCCCTTTCTCACCAACTTAATTTTGTTCAGTATTTGTGAAATTGTCTATAAAAATGTGTAATATTAGTCAATGGGATGGATATAAAATATAATAAAATCACTTACATAATTAGTATAGCCGGGGATTCAAACTGCATTTGTAGATATGTTTGCCTTCTAACATTACCTTGTTATTTTCATTTCAATAGGTAGAAATTGTGCTACACTAATCACTGTTAAAGCTGAGTTTGTACATGGCAAATAAATTAGAATATATGTAAAGTCCAAAACCAAATTAGCAGGGAAGTAATATAGCAGTACATAGCCCATCGAGAAAAGCAAATAAAATCATTGGACAAGAGCCTTCTAGGAAAAATCAGAGTGATTACATGAATAGCAGATGAGGATGACAATGGTGATTAACCTGATAACTGTGTAGATAAGAGGAGGATAATATTACATAATAAAATAAGCTATACTTTCACCTCTTTCCTATCTTTGGTTTCTGAAGTGAAGTTGGTGAATTTCCTAACAACCAAAGAGCAAACTTAGGACTGACAACATACTGGGAATGTAGTGGTTGGGAATGAGGATTGAGGGAAGGGATGCATTTGAGAGATGCTTTGATGAAAACCTTGCCTACTTCTTCAGTCATCAACCAGCCAAGTTCCTGTGCACTCATGTATCAATCCATTATCACACTGCTATAAGGACATACCTGATACTGGATAATTTATAAAGGAAAGAGGTTTAATGGACTTACAGTTCTACGTGGCTTGGGAGGCCTCACAATCATGGCAGAAGGTGAAGGAGGGGCAAAGACATGTCTTACATGGTGGCAGACAAGAGAGCATGTGCAGGGGAACAGTCTTTTGTAAAACCGTCAGATCTCGTGAGACTTATTCACTATCATGAAAACAGCACAGGAAAAACCCACCCCCATGATACAATTTCCTCCCACCAGGTTTCTCCCATGACACATGGGGATTATGGTAGCTACAATTTAAGATGAGATTTGGGTGGGGACACAGCCAAACCATATCAACTCACAAATTGGGATTTTAGCAACATAAGCCCTCACATCTCTCAACATTCTTTAAAAGCTAACTGCTTTATACATATTGATCACATTAAACCTCAGAACACTACTTGATAGGTAGCAGTAGTATTTCTGTTTTACAAAGCAAGTCATAAGAATAATAATAAGTGGATTAAGAAAGCATAGGTTACTTTTCCTAGGTTTCAGAGCCTTCACTAGAATAAAGCTTCATGAGTAAAGTCATGTACTTAGTCATGATAAAATAGTGACTCTCATCTACCAACTTGGCATGTAGTGTATGCCGATATCTGTTAGTGACTTCTCTGTTTAAGTTGTGTCTCATTTGATGTGTGATTAAAAGTATAGACACAGAGACTTCTTCACATTTCACGTATCCTATGGAGTGCTGGCAGAAATGGAACATATGTTGGTACTTAGCAAAGAGAAGTGTATTAAAAGAGGCAATACCTTAAAACGGTGACCACTTAGTAAAAACATGAAAGACTGTGTCATTCCAGTCATTACCTATTCATTAGAAAAATAAATATTAACATTAATATAAACAACTTATTAATGATAATACAAAAACCTTAACCCCATTAGAAAAGAAATATATGATACTCAAGCTCTTATGGACTAGGAACTGGATAAAGTGCTTTATAAACATTATTTCATTTAGTCATGGCAATAAGCAGAATCACCTTTACCTCTGCTAAGATGCTATCTTTGTGAATACCTGAGGTATTTTCTTTCAGTGCCTTTGAAGTCCAAAAAAGATGATTTTAGCATTCTGTGGAAAGTGAAAGTGGAGTCTCTCCTCTTCCTGGATAATGCTCACAAACTGTTTGATATCGCTGCTGTACTGTCAAGAGATAACTCCTCCTTATTGTACAGGAGGTCAGACTGAAGTGGCTGGAATGCAGAGTAATGAGACTAACATTCCAAGGTCACTGTCCAGCTGCCTAATTCTTAAAACTTCTCCAGAAACCAGATGCAATTTCATGGCATTGATAAATAAATAAATCATGGGTAAAATTATTTTAT